>NC_000011.10:53216810-53374258 GCF_000001405.40 Homo sapiens
AGCATTCTCAGAATGTTTCCTGTGATGACTGCATTCAACTCACAGAGGTGAACAATCCTGCTGATGGAGCAGTTTTGAAACTCTCTTTCTTTGGATTCTGCAAGTGGATATGTGGACCTCTGTGAAGATTTCGTTGGAAACGTGTTCATCTTCACAGAAAAACTAAACAGGAGCATTCTCAGAAACTGCTTTGTGATGTTTGTGTTCCACTTCAAGAATTGAACTTTCCTCTTGACAGAGCAGCTCTGAAACCCTCTTTTTCTGGAATCTGCAAGTGGACATTTGGAGGGCTTTGAGGCCTGTGGTGGAAAAGGAAAATCTTCCCATAAAAACTAGATGGAAGCATTCTCAGAAACTACTTTGTGATGATTGCATTCGACTCACAGAGTTGAACATTCCTATAGATAGAGCAGGTTGTAAACAATCTTTTTGTAGAATCTGCGATTGGAGATTTGGACTGCTTTGAGGCCTACTGTAGTAAAGGAAATAACTTCATCTAAAAACCAAACGGAAGCATTCACAGACAATTCTTAGTGATCATTGCATTGAACTAACAGAGCTGAACATTCCTTTAGATGGCGCAGTTTCCAAACACACTTTCTGTAGAATCTGCAAGTGGATATTTGGACCTCTCTGAGGATTTCGTTGGAAACGGGATAAACTTCCCAGAACTACACGGAAGCATTCTGAGAAACTTCTTTGTGATGTTTGCATTCAACTCACAGAGTTGAAACTTGCTTTCATAGTTCAGCTTTCAAACACTCTTTTTGTAGAATCTGCTAGTGGATATTTGGACCACTTTGTGGCCTTCCTTCGAAACGGGTATATCTTCACATCAAACCTAGACAGAAGCATTCTCAGAATGTTTCCTGTGATGACTGCATTCAACTCACAGAGTTGAACAATCCTGCTGATGGAGCAGTTTTGAAACTCTCTTTCTTTGGATTCTGCAAGTGGATATGTGGACCTCTGTTAAGATTTCGGTGGAAACGGGTTCATATTCACAGAAAAACTAAACAGGAGCATTCTCAGAAACTGCTTTGTGATGTTTGTGTTCCACTTCAAGAATTGAACTTTCCTCTTGACAGAGCAGCTCTGAAACCCTCTTTTTCTAGAATCTGCAAGTGGACATTTGGAGGGCTTTGAGGCCTGTGGTGGAAAAGGAAAATCTTCACATAAAAACTAGATGGAAGCATTCTCAGAAACTCCTTTGTGATGATTGCATTCGACTCACAGAGTTGATCATTCCTATAGATAGAGCAGGTTGTAAACAATCTTTTTGTAGAATCTGCGATTGGAGATTTGGACTGCTTTGAGGCCTACTGTAGTAAAGGAAATAACTTCATCTAAAAACCAAACGGAAGCATTCACAGATAATTCTAAGTGATATTGGATTGAACTAACAGAGCTGAACATTCCTTTAGATGGAGCAGTTTCCAAACACACTTTCTGTAGAATCTGCAAGTGGATATTTGGACTTCTCGGAGGATTTCGTTGGAAACGGGATAAACTTATCAGAACTACACGGAAGCATTCTGAGAAACTTCTTTGTGATGTTTGCATTCAACTCACAGAGTTGAACCTTGCTTTCATAGTTCAGCTTTCAAACACTCTTTTTGTAGAATCTGCAAGTGGATATTTGGACCACTTTGTGGCCTTCCTTCGAAACGGGTATATCTTCACATCAAACCTAGACAGAAGCATTCTCAGAATGTTTCCTGTGATGACTGCATTCAACTCACAGAGGTGAACAATCCTGCTGTTGGAACAGTTTTGAAACTCTCTTTCTTTGGATTCTGCAAGTGGATATGTGGACCTCTGTGAAGATTTCGTTGGAAACGGGTACATCTTCACAGAAAAACTAAACAGGAGCATTCTCAGAAACTGCTTTGTGATGTTTGTGTTCCACTTCAAGAATTGAACTTTCCTCTTGACAGAGCAGCTCTGAAACCCTCTTTTTCTAGAATCTGCAAGTGGACATTTGGAGGGCTTTGAGGCCTGTGGTGGAAAAGGAAAATCTTCACATAAAAACTACATGGAAGCATTCTCAGAAACTACTTTGTGATGATTGCATTCGACTCACAGAGTTGAACATTCCTATAGATAGAGCAGGTTGTAAACAATCTTTTTGTAGAATCTGCGATTGGAGATTTGGACTGCTTTGAGGCCTACTGTAGTAAAGGAAATAACTTCATCTAAAAACCAAACGGAAGCATTCACAGACAATTCTTAGTGATCATTGGATTGAACTAACAGAGCTGAACATTCCTTTAGATGGAGCAGTTTCTAAACACACTTTCTGTAGAATCTGCAAGTGGATATTTGGACTTCTCTGAGGATTTCGTTGGAAACGGGATAAACTTCCCAGAACTACAGGGAAGCATTCTGAGAAACTTCTTTGTGATGTTTGCATTCAACTCACAGAGTTGAACCTTGCTTTCATAGTTCAGCTTTCAAACACTCTTTTTGTAGAATCTGCAAGTGGATATTTGGACCACTTTGTGGCCTTCCTTCGAAACGGGTATATCTTCACATCAAACCTAGACAGAAGCATTCTCAGAATGTTTCCTGTGATGACTGCATTCAACTCACAGAGGTGAACAATCCTGCTGTTGGAGCAGTTTTGAAACTCTCTTTCTTTGGATTCTGCAAGTGGATATGTGGACCTCTGTGAAGATTTCGTTGGAAACGGGTTCATCTTCACAGAAAAACTAAACAGGAGCATTCTCAGAAACTGCTTTGTGATGTTTGTGTTCCACTTCAAGAATTGAACTTTCCTCTTGACAGAGCAGCTCTGAAACCCTCTTTTTCTAGAATCTGCAAGTGGACATTTGGAGGTCTTTGGGGCCTGTGGTGGAAAAGGAAAATCTTCACATAAAAACTAGATGGAAGCATTCTCAGAAACTACTTTGTGATGATTGCATTCGACTCACAGAGTTGAACATTCCTATAGATAGAGCAGGTTGTAAACATACTTTTTGTAGAATCTGCGATTGCAGATTTGGACTGCTTTGAGGCCTACTGTAGTAAAGGCAATAACTTCATCTAAAAACCAAACGGAAGCATTCACAGACAATTCTTAGTGATCATTGGATTGAACTAACAGAGCTGAACATTCCTTTAGATGGAGCAGTTTCCAAACACACTTTCTGTAGAATCTGCAAGTGGATATTTGGACTTCTCTGAGGATATCGTAGGAAACGGGATAAATTTCCCAGAACTACACGGAAGCATTCTGAGAAACTTCTTTGTGATGTTTGCATTCAACACACAGAGTTGAACCTTGCTTTCATAGTTCAGCTTTCAAACACTCTTTTTGTACAATCTGCAAGTGGATATTTGGACCACTTTGTGGCCTTCCTTCGAAACGGGTATAACTTCACATCAAACCTAGACAGAAGCATTCTCAGAATGTTTCCTGTGATGACTGCATTCAACTCACGGAGGTGAACAATCCTGCTGATGGAGCAGTTTTGAAACTCTCTTTCTTTGGATTCTGCAAGTGGATATGTGGACCTCTGTGAAGATTTCGTTGGAAACGGGTTCATCTTCACAGAAAAACTAAACAGAAGCATTCTCAGAAACTGCTTTGTGATGTTTGTGTTCCACTTCAGGAATTGAACTTTCCTCTTGACAGAGCAGCTCTGAAACCCTCTTATTCTAGAATCTGCAAGTGGACATTTGGAGGGCTTTGAGGCCTGTGGTGGAAAAGGAAAATCTTCACATAAAAACTAGATGGAAGCATTCTCAGAAACTACTTTGTGATGATTGCATTCGACTCACAGAGTTGAACATTCCTATACATAGAGCAGGTTGTAAACAATCTTTTTGTAGAATCTGCGATTGGAGATTTGGACTGCTTTGAGGCCTACTGTAGTAAAGGAAATAACTTCATCTAAAAACCAAACGGAAGCATTCACAGACAATTCTTAGTGATCATTGCATTGAACTAACAGAGCTGAACATTCCTTTAGATGGCGCAGTTTCCAAACACACTTTCTGTAGAATCTGCAAGTGGATATTTGGACCTCTCTGAGGATTTCGTTGGAAACGGGATAAACTTCCCAGAACTACACGGAAGCATTCTGAGAAACTTCTTTGTGATGTTTGCATTCAACTCACAGAGTTGAACCTCGCTTTCATAGTTCAGCTTTCAAACACTCTTTTTGTAGAATCTGCAAGTGGATATTTGGACCACTTTGTGGCCTTCCTTCGAAACGGGTATATCTTCACATCAAACCTAGACAGAAGCATTCTCAGAATGTTTCCTGTGATGACTGCATTCAACTCACAGAGGTGAACAATCCTGTTGATGGAGCAGTTTTGAATCTCTCTTTCTTTGGATTCTGCAAGTGGATATGTGGACCTCTGTGAAGATTTCGTTGGAAACGGGTTCATTTTCACAGAAAAACTAAACAGAAGCATTCTCAGAAACTGCTTTGTGATGTTTGTGTTCCACTTCAAGAATTGAACTTTCCTCTTGACAGAGCAGCTCTGAAACCCTCTTTTTCTAGAATCTGCAAGTGGACATTTGGAGGGCTTTGAGGCCTGTGGTGGAAAAGGAAAATCTTCACATAAAAACTAGATGGAAGCATTCTCAGAAACTACTTTGTGATGATTGCATTCGACTCACAGAGTTGAACATTCCTATAGATAGAGCAGGTTGTAAACAATCTTTTTGTAGAATCTGCGATTGGAGATTTGGACTGCTTTGAGGCCTACTGTAGTAAAGGAAATAACTTCATCTAAAAACCAAACGGAAGCATTCACAGACAATTCTTAGTGATCATTGGATTGAACTAACAGAGCTGAACATTCCTTTAGATGGAGCAGTTTCCAAACCCACTTTCTGTAGAATCTGCAAGTGGATATTTGGACTTCTCTGAGGATTTCCTTGGAAACGGGATAAACTTCCCAGAACTACACGGAAGCATTCTGAGAAACTTCTTTGTGATGTTTGCATTCAACTCACAGAGTTGAACCTTGCTTTCATAGTTCAGCTTTCAAACACTCTTTTTGTAGAATCTGCAAGTGGATATTTGGACCACTTTGTGGCCTTCCTTCGAAACGGGTATATCTTCACATCAAACCTAGACAGAAGCATTCTCAGAATGTTTCCTGTGATGTCTGCATTCAACTCACAGAGGTGAACAATCCTGCTGATGGAGCAGTTTTGAAACTCTCCTTCTTTGGATTCTGCAAGTGGATATGTGGACCTCTGTGAAGATTTCGTTGGAAACGGGTTCATCTTCACAGAAAAACTAAACAGAAGCATTCTCAGAAACTGCCTTGTGATGTTTTTGTTCCACTTCAGGAATTGAACTTTCCTCTTGACAGAGCAGCTCTGAAGCCCTCTTATTCTAGAATCTGCAAGTGGACATTTGGAGGGTTTTGAGGCCTGTGGTGGAAAAGGATAATCTTCACATAAAAACTAGATGGAAGCATTCTCAGAAACTACTTTGTGATGATTGCATTCGACTCACAGAGTTGAACATTCCTATAGATAGAGCAGGTTGTAAACAATCTTTTTGTAGAATCTGCGATTGGAGATTTGGACTGCTTTGAGGCCTACTGTAGTAAAGGAAATAACTTCATCTAAAAACCAAACGGAAGCATTCACAGACAATTCTTAGTGATCATTGGATTGAACTAACAGAGCTGAACATTCCTTTAGATGGAGCAGTTTCCAAACCAACTTTCTGTAGAATCTGCAAGTGGATATTTGGACTTCTCTGAGGATTTCGTTGGAAACGGGATAAACTTCTCAGAACTACACGGAAGCATTGTGAGAAACTTCTTTGTGATGTTTGCATTCAACTCACAGAGTTGAACCTTGCTTTAATAGTTCAGCTTTCAAACACTCTTTTTGTAGAATCTGCAAGTGGATATTTGGACCACTTTGTGGCCTTCCTTCGAAACGGGTATATCTTCACATCAAACCTAGACAGAAGCATTCTCAGAATGTTTCCTGTGATGACTGCATTCAACTCACAGAGGTGAACAATCCTGCTGTTGGAGCAGTTTTGAAACTCTCTTTCTTTGGATTCTGCAAGTGGATATGTGGACCTCTGTGAAGATTTCGTTGGAAACGGGTTCATCTTCACAGAAAAACTAAACAGGAGCATTCTCAGAAACTGCTTTGTGATGTTTGTGTTCCACTTCAGGAATTGAACTTTCCTCTTGACAGAGCAGCTCTGAAACCCTCTTTTTCTAGAATCTGCAAGTGGACATTTGGAGGGCTTTGAGGCCTGTGGTGGAAAAGGAAAATCTTCACATAAAAACTAGATGGAAGCATTCTCAGAAACTACTTTGTGATGATTGCATTCGACTCACAGAGTTGAACATTCCTATACATAGAGCAGGTGGTAAACAATCTTTTTGTAGAATCTGCGATTGGAGATTTGGAATGCTTTGAGGCCTACTGTAGTAAAGGAAATAACTTCATCTAAAAACCAAACGGAAGCATTCACAGACAATTCTTAGTGATCATTGGATTGAACTAACAGAGCTGAACATTCCTTTAGATGGAGCAGTTTCCAAACCCACTTTCTGTAGAATCTGCAAGTGGATATTTGGACCTCTCTGAGGATTTCGTTGGAAACGGGATATACTTCCCAGAACTACACGGAAGCATTCTGAGAAACTTCTTTGTGATGTTTGCATTCAACTCACAGAGTTGAACCTTGCTTTCATAGTTCAGCTTTCAAACACTCTTTTTGTAGAATCTGCAAGTGGATATTTGGACCACTTTGTGGCCTTCCTTCGAAACGGGTATATCTTCACATCAAACCTAGACAGAAGCATTCTCAGAATGTTTCCTGTGATGACTGCATTCAACTCACAGAGGTGAACAATCCTGTTGATGGAGCAGTTTTGAAACTCTCTTTCTTTGGATTCTGCAAGTTGATATGTGGACCTCTATGAAGATTTCGTTGGAAACGGGTTCATCTACACAGAAAAACTAAACAGAAGCATTCCCAGAAACTGCTTTGTGATGTTTCTGTTCCACTTCAAGAATTGAACTTTCCTCTTGACAGAGCAGCTCTGAAACCCTCTTTTTCTAGAATCTGCAAGTGGACATTTGGAGGGCTTTGAGGCCTGTGGTGGAAAAGGAAAATCTTCACATAAAAACTAGATGGAAGCATTCTCAGAAACTACTTTGTGATGATTGCATTCGACTCACAGAGTTGAACATTCCTATAGATAGAGCAGGTTGTAAACAATCTTTTTGTAGAATCTGCGATTGGAGATTTGGACTGCTTTGAGGCCTACTGTAGTAAAGGAAATAACTTCATCTAAAAACCAAACGGAAGCATTCACAGACAATTCTTAGTGATCATTGCATTGAACTAACAGAGCTGAACATTCCTTTAGATGGCGCAGTTTCCAAACACACTTTCTGTAGAATCTGCAAGTGGATATTTGGACCTCTCTGAGGATTTCGTTGGAAACGGGATAAACTTCCCAGAACTACACGGAAGCATTCTGAGAAACATTCTTTTGTGATGTTTGCATTCAACTCACAGAGTTGAACCTTGCTTTCATAGTTCAGCTTTCAAACACTCTTTTTGTAGAATCTGCAAGTGGATATTTGGACCACTTTGTGGCCTTCCTTCGAAACGGGTATATCTTCACATCAAACCTAGACAGAAGCATTCTCAGAATGTTTCCTTTGATGACTGCATTCAACTCACAGAGGTGAACAATCCTGTTGATGGAGCAGTTTTGAAACTCTCTTTCTTTGGATTCTGCAAGTGGATATGTGGACCTCTGTGAAGATTTCGTTGGAAACGGGTTCATCTTCACAGAAAAACTAAACAGAAGCATTCTCAGAAACTGCTTTGTGATGTTTGTGTTCCACTTCAGGAATTGAACTTTCCTCTTGACAGAGCAGCTCTGAAACCCTCTTATTCTAGAATCTGCAAGTGGACATTTGGAGGGCTTTGAGGCCTGTGGTGGAAAAGGAAAATCTTCACATAAAAACTAGATGGAAGCATTCTCAGAAACTACTTTGTGATGATTGCATTCGACTCACAGAGTTGAACATTCCTATAGATAGAGCAGGTTGTAAACAATCTTTTTGTAGAATCTGCGATTGGAGATTTGGACTGCTTTGAGGCCTACTGTAGTAAAGGAAATAACTTCATCTAAAAACCAAACGGAAGCATTCACAGACAATTCTTAGTTATCATTGGATTGAACTAACAGAGCTGAACATTCCTTTAGATGGCGCAGTTTCCAAACACACTTTCTGTAGAATCTGCAAGTGGATATTTGGACCTCTACTGAGGATTTCGTTGGAAAAGGGAAAAACTTCCCAGAACTACACGGAAGCATTGTGAGAAACTTCTTTGTGATGTTTGTATTCAACTCACAGGGTTGAACCTTGCTTTCATAGTTCAGCTTTCAAACACTCTTTTTGTAGAATCTGCAAGTGGATATTTGGACCACTTTGTGGCCTTCCTTCGAAACGGGTATATCTTCACATCAAACCTAGACAGAAGCATTCTCACAATGTTTCCTGTGATTACTGCATTCAACGCACAGAGGTGAAGAATCCTGCTGATGGAGCAGTTTTGAATCTCTCTTTCTCTGGAATCTGAAAGTGGATATGAGGACCTATTTGAAGATTTCGTTGGAAACGGTTTCATCTTCAAAGAAAAACTAAACAGTAGCTTTCTCAGAAACTGCTTTGTGATGTTTGTGTTCCACTTCAAGAATTGAACTTTCCTCTTGACAGAGCAGCTCTGAAACCCACTTTTTCTAAAATCTGCAAGTGGACATTTGGAGGGCTTTGAGGCCTGTGGTGGAAAAGGAAAATCTTCACATAAAAACTAGATGGAAGCATTCTCAGAAACTACTTTGTGATGATTGCATTCGACTCACAGAGTTGAACATTCCTATAGATAGAGCAGGTTGTAAACAATGTTTTTGTAGAATCTGCGATTGGAGATTTGGACTGCTTTGAGGCCTACTGTAGTAAAGGAAATAACTTCATCTAAAAACCAAACGGAAGCATTCACAGACAATTCTTAGTGATCATTGCATTGAACTAACAGAGCTGAACATTCCTTTAGATGGCGCAGTTTCCAAACACACTTTCTGTAGAATCTGCAAGTGGATATTTGGACCTCCCTGAGGATTTCGTTGGAAACGGGATAAAATTCCCAGAACTACACGGAAGCATTCTGAGAAACTTCTTTGTGATGTTTGCATTCAACTCACAGAGTTGAACCTTGCTTTCATAGTTCAGCTTTCAAACACTCTTTTTGTAGAATCTGCAAGTGGATATTTGGACCACTTTGTGGCCTTCCTTCGAAACGGGTATATCTTCACATCAAACCTAGACAGAAGCATTCTCAGAATGTTTCCTGTGATGACTGCATTCAACTCACAGAGGTGAACAATCCTTCTGATGGAGCAGTTTTGAAACTCTCTTTCTTTGGATTCTGCAAGTGGATATGTGGACCTCTATGAAGATTTCGTTGGAAACGGGTTCATCTTCACAGAAAAACTAAACAGAAGCATTCTGAGAAACTGCTTTGTGATGTTTTTGTTCCACTTCAGGAATTGAACTTTCCTCTTGACAGAGCAGCTCTGAAAACCTCTTATTCTAGAATCTGCAAGTGGACATTTGGAGGGCTTTGAGGCCTGTGGTGGAAAAGGAAAATCTTCACATAAAAACTAGATGGAAGCATTCTCAGAAACTACTTTGTGATGATTGCATTCGACTCACAGAGTTGAACATTCCTATAGATAGAGCAGGTTGTAAACAATCTTTTTGTAGAATCTGCGATTGGAGATTTGGACTGCTTTGAGGCCTACTGTAGTAAAGGAAATAACTTCATCTAAAAACCAAACGGAAGCATTCACAGACAATTCTTAGTGATAATTGGATTGAACTAACAGAGCTGAACATTCCTTTAGATGGAGCAGTTTCCAAACACACTTTCTGTAGAATCTGCAAGTGGATATTTGGACCTCTCTGAGGATTTCGTTGGAAACGGGATAAACTTCCCAGAACTACACGGAAAGCATTCTGAGAAACTTCTTTGTGATGCTTGCATTCACCTCACAGGGTTGAACCTTGCTTTCATAGTTCAGCTTTCAAACACTCTTTTTGTAGAATCTGCAAGTGGATATTTGGACCACTTTGTGGCCTTCCTTCGAAACGGGTATATCTTCACATCAAACCTAGACAGAAGCATTCTCAGAATGTTTCCTGTGATGACTGCATTCAACTCACAGAGGTGAACAATCCTGCTGATGGAGCAGTTTTGAAACTCTCTTTCTTTGGATTCTGCAAGTGGATATGTGGACCTCTGTGAAGATTTCGTTGGAAACGGGTTCATCTTCACAGAAAAACTAAACAGAAGCATTCTCAGTAAACTGCTTTGTGATGTTTGTGTTCCACTTCAGGAATTGAACTTTCCTCTTGACAGAGCAGCTCTGAAACCCTCTTTTTCTAGAATCTGCAAGTGGACATTTGGAGGGCTTTGAGCCCTGTGGTGGAAAAGGAAAATCTTCACATAAAAACTAGATGGAAGCATTCTCAGAAACTACTTTGTGATGATTGCATTCGACTCACAGAGTTGAACATTCCTATAGATAGAGCAGGTTGTAAACAATCTTTTTGTAGAATCTGCGATTGGAGATTTGGACTTCTTTGAGGCCTACTGTAGTAAAGGAAATAACTTCATCTAAAAACCAAACGGAAGCATTCACAGACAATTCTTAGTGATCATTGGATTGCACTAACAGAGCTGAACATTCCTTTAGATGGCGCAGTTTCCAAACACACTTTCTGTAGACTCTGCAAGTGGATATTTGGACCTCTCTGAGGATTTCGTTGGAAACGGGATAAACTTCCCAGAACTACACGGAAGCATTGTGAGAAACTTCTCTGTGATGTTTGCATTCAACTCACAGAGTTGAACCTTGCTTTCATAGTTCAGCTTTCAAACACTCTTTTTGTAGAATCTGCAAGTGGATATTTGGACCACTTTGTGGCCTTCCTTCGAAACGGGTATATCTTCACATCAAACCTAGACAGAAGCATTCTCAGAATGTTTCCTGTGATGACTGCATTCAACTCACAGAGGTGAACAATCCTGCTGATGGAGCAGTTTTGAAACTCTCTTTCTTTGGATTCTGCAAGTGGATATGTGGACCTCTGTGAAGATTTCGTTGGAAACGGGTTCATCTTCACAGAAAAACTAAACAGAAGCATTCTCAGAAACTGCTTTGTGATGTTTGTGTTCCACTTCAAGAATTGAACTTTCCTCTTGACAGAGCAGCTCTGAAACCCTCTTTTTCTAGAATCTGCAAGTGGACATTTGGAGGGCTTTGAGGCCTGTGGTGGAAAAGGAAAATCTTCCCATAAAAACTAGATGGAAGCATTCTCAGAAACTACTTTGTGATGATTGCATTCGACTCACAGAGTTGAACATTCCTATAGATAGAGCAGGTTGTAAACAATCTTTTTGTAGAATCTGCGATTGGAGATTTGGACTGCTTTGAGGCCTACTGTAGTAAAGGAAATAACTTCATCTAAAAACCAAACGGAAGCATTCACAGACAATTCTTAGTGATCATTGGATTGAACTAACAGAGCTGAACATTCCTTTAGATGGAGCAGTTTCCAAACCCACTTTCTGTAGAATCTGCAAGTGGATATTTGGACTTCTCTGAGGATTTCGTTGGAAACGGGATAAACTTCCCAGAACTACACGGAAGCATTCTGAGAAACTTCTTTGTGATGTTTGCATTCAACTCACAGAGTTGAACCTTGCTTTCATAGTTCAGCTTTCAAACACTCTTTTTGCAGAATCTGCAAGTGGATATTTGGACCACTTTGTGGCCTTCCTTCGAAACGGGTATATCTTCACATCAAACCTAGACAGAAGCATTCTCAGAATGTTTCCTGTGATGACTGCATTCAACTCACAAAGGTGAACAATCCTGCTGATGGAGCAGTTTTGAAACTCTCTTTCTTTGGATTCTGCAAGTGGATATGTTGACCTCTGTGAAGATTTCGTTGGAAACGGGTTCATCTTCACAGAAAAACTAAACAGGAGCATTCTCAGAAACTGCTTTGTGATGTTTGTGTTCCACTTCAAGAATTGAACTTTCCTCTTGACAGAGCAGCTCTGAAACCCTCTTTTTCTAGAGTCTGCAAGTGGACATTTGGAGGGCTTTGAGGCCTGTGGTGGAAAAGGAAAATCTTCACATAAAAACTAGATGGAAGCATTCTCAGAAACTACTTTGTGATGATTGCATTTGACTCACAGAGTTGAACATTCCTATAGATAGAGCAGGTTGTAAACAATCTTTTTGTAGAATCTGCGATTGGAGATTTGGACTGCTTTGAGGCCTACTGTAGTAAAGGAAATAACTGCATCTAAAAACCAAACGGAAGCATTCACAGACAATCCTTAGTGATCATTGCATTGAACTAACAGAGCTGAACATTCCTTTAGATGGCGCAGTTTCCAAACACACTTTCTGTAGAATCTGCAAGTGGATATTTGGACCTCTCTGAGGATTTCGTTGGAAACGGGATAAACTTCCCAGAACTACACGGAAGCATTGTGAGAAACTTCTTTGTGATGTTTGCATTCAACTCACAGAGTTGAACCTTGCTTTCATAGTTCAGCTTTCAAACACTCTTTTTGTAGAATCTGCAAGTGGATATTTGGACCACTTTGTGGCCTTCCTTCGAAACGGGTATATCTTCACATCAAACCTAGACAGAAGCATTCTCAGAATGTTTCCTGTGATGACTGCATTCAACTCACAGAGGTGAACAATCCTGCTGATGGAGCAGTTTTGAAACTCTCTTTCTTTGGATTCTGCAAGTGGATATGTGGACCTCTGTGAAGATTTCGTTGGAAACGGGTTCATGCTTCACAGAAAAACTAAACAGAAGCATTCTCAGAAACTGCTTTGTGATGTTTGTGTTCCACTTCAGGAATTGAACTTTCCTCTTGACAGAGCAGCTCTGAAACCCTCTTATTCTAGAATCTGCAAGTGGACATTTGAAGGGCTTTGAGGCCTGTGGTGGAAAAGGAAAATCTTCACATAAAAACTAGATGGAAGCATTCTCAGAAACTACTTTGTGATGATTGCATTCGACTCACAGAGTTGAACATACCTATAGATAGAGTAGGTTGTAAACAATCTTTTTGTAGAATCTGCGATTGGAGATTTGGACTGCTTTGAGGCCTACTGTAGTAAAGGAAATAACTTCATCTAAAAACCAAACGGAAGCATTCACAGACAATTCTTAGTGATCATTGGTTTGAACTAACAGAGCTGAACATTCCTTTAGATGGAGCAGTTTCCAAACCCACTTTCTGTAGAATCTGCAAGTGGATATTTGGACTTCTCTGAGGATTTCGTTGGAAACGGGATAAACTTTTCAGAACTACACGGAAGCATTGTGAGAAATTTCTTTGTGATGTTTTCATTCAACTCACAGAGTTGAAACCTGCTTTCATAGTTCAGCTTTCAAACACTCTTTTTGTAGAATCTGCAAGTGGATATTTGGACCACTTTTTGGCCTTCCTTCGAAACGGGTATATCTTCACATCAAACCTAGACAGAAGCATTCTCAGAATGTTTCCTGTGATGACTGCATTCAACTCACAGAGGTGAACAATCCTGCTGATGGAGCAGTTTTGAAACTCTCCTTCTTTGGATTCTGAAAGTGGATATGTGGACCTCTGTGAAGGTTTCGTTGGAAACGGGTTCATCTTCACAGAAAAACTAAACAGAAGCATTCTCAGAAACTGCTTTGTGATGTTTGTGTTCCACTTCAAGAATTGAACTTTCCTCTTGACAGTGCAGCTCTGAAACCCTCTTTTTCTAGAATCTGCAAGTGGACATTTGGAGGGCTTTGAGGCCTGTGGTGGAAAAGGAAAATCTTCACATAAAAACTAGATGGAAGCATTCTCAGAAACTACTTTGTGATGATTGCATTCGACTCACAGAGTTGAACATTCCTATAGATAGAGCAGGTTGTAAACAATCTTTTTGTAGAATCTGCGATTGGAGATTTGGACTGCTTTGAGGCCTACTGTAGTAAAGGAAATAACTTCATCTAAAAACCAAACGGAAGTATTCACAGACAATTCTTAGTGATCATTGGATTGAACTAACAGAGCTGAACATTCCTTTAGATGGAGCAGTTTCCAAACACACTTTCTGTAGAATCTGCAAGTGGATATTTGGACTTCTCTGAGGATTTCGTTGGAAACGGGATAAACTTCCCAGAACTACACGGAAAAGCATTGTGAGAAACTTCTTTGTGATGTTTGCATTCAACTCACAGAGTTGAACCTTGCTTTCATAGTTCAGCTTTCAAACACTCTTTTTGTAGAATCTGCAAGTGGATATTTGGACCACTTTGTGGCCTTCCTTCGAAACGGGTATATCTTCACATCAAACCTAGACAGAAGCATTCTCAGAATGTTTCCTGTGATGACTGCATTCAACTCACAGAGGTGAACAATCCTGTTGATGGAGCACTTTTGAAACTCTCTTTCTTTGGATTCTGCAAGTTGATATGTGGACCTCTGTGAAGATTTCGTTGGAAACGGGTTCATCTTCACAGAAAAACTAAACAGAAGCATTCCCAGAAACTGCTTTGTGATGTTTCTGTTCCACTTCAAGAATTGAACTTTCCTCTTGACAGAGCAGCTCTGAAACCCTCTTTTTCTAGAATCTGCAAGTGGACATTTGGAGGGCTTTGAGGCCTGTGGTGGAAAAGGAAAATCTTCACATAAAAACTAGATGGAAGCATTCTCAGAAACTACTTTGTGATGATTGCATTCGACTCACAGAGTTGAACATTCCTATAGATAGAGCAGGTTGTAAACAGTCTTTTTGTAGAATCTGTGATTGGAGATTTGGACTGCTTTGAGGCCTACTGTAGTAAAGGAAATAACTTCATACTAAAAACCAAACGGAAGCATTCACAGAAGAATTCTTAGTGATCATTGGATTGAACTAACAGAGCTGAACATTCCTTTAGATGGAGCAGTTTCCAAACACACTTTCTGTAGAATCTGCAAGTGGATATTTGGACCTCTCTGAGGATTTCGTTGGAAAAGGGATAAACTTCCCAGAACTACACGAAAGCATTCTGAGAAACTTCTTTGTGATGTTTGCATTCAACTCACAGAGTTGAACCTTGCTTTCATAGTTCAGCTTTCAAACACTCTTTTTGTAGAATCTGCAAGTGGATATTTGGACCACTTTGTGGCCTTCCTTCGAAACGGGTATATCTTCACATCAAACCTAGACAGAAGCATTCTCAGAATGTTTCCTGTGATGACTGCTTTCAACTCACAGAGGTGAACAATCCTGCTGATGGAGCAGTTTTGAAACTCTCTTTCTTTGGATTCTGCAAGTGGATATGTGGACCTCTGTGAAGATTTCGTTGGAAACGGGTTCATCTTCACAGAAAAACTAAACAGAAACATTCTCAGAAACTGCTTTGTGATGTTTGTGTTCCACTTCAAGAATTGAACTTTCCTCTTGACAGAGCAGCTCTGAAACCCTCTTTTTCTAGAATCTGCAAGTGGACATTTGGAGGGCTTTGAGGCCTGTGGTGGAAAAGGAAAATCTTCACATAAAAACTAGATGGAAGCATTCTCAGAAACTACTTTGTGATCATTGCATTCGACTCACAGAGTTGAACATTCCTATAGATAGAGCAGGTTGTAAACAATCTTTTTGTAGAATCTGCGATTGGAGATTTGGACTGCTTTGAGGCCTACTGTAGTAAAGGAAATAACTTCATCTAAAAACCAAACGGAGGCATTCACAGACAATTCTTAGTGATCATTGGATTGAACTAACAGAGCTGAAGATTCCTTTAGATGGAGCAGTTTCCAAACACACTTTCTGTAGAATCTGCAAGTGGATATTTGGACCTCTCTGAGGATTTTGTTGGAAACGGGATAAACTTCCCAGAACTACACGGAAGTATTCTGAGAACCTTCTTTGTGATGTTTGCATTCAACTCACAGAGTTGAACCTTGCTTTCATAGTTCAGCTTTCAAACACTCTTTTTGTAGAATCTACAAGTGGATATTTGGACCACTTTGTGGCCTTCCTTCGAAACGGGTATATCTTCACATCAAACCTAGACAGAAGCATTCTCAGAATGTTTCCTGTGATGACCGCATTCAACTCACAGAGGTGAACAATCCTGCTGATGGAGCAGTTTTGAAACTCTCTTTCTTTGGATTCTGCAAGTGGATATGTGGACCTCTGTGAAGATTTCGTTGGAAACGGGTTCATATTCACAGTAAAACTAAACAGGAGCATTCTCAGAAACTGCTTTGTGATGTTTGTGTTCCACTTCAGGAATTGAACTTTCCTCTTGACAGAGCAGCTCTGAAACCCTCTTATTCTAGAATCTGCAAGTGGACATTTGGAGGGCTTTGAGGCCTGTGGTGGAAAAGGAAAATCTTCACATAAAAACTAGATGGAAGCATTCTCAGAAACTACTTTGTGATGATTGCATTCGACTCACAGAGTTGAACATTCCTATAGATAGAGCAGGTTGTAAACAATCTTTTTGTAGAATCTGCGATTGGAGATTTGGAGTGCTTTGGGGCCTACTGTAGTAAAGGAAAAAACTTCATCTAAAAACCAAACGGAAGCATTCACAGACAATTCTTAGTGATCATTGGATTGAACTAACAGAGCTGAACATTCCTTTAGATGGAGCAGTTTCCAAACACACTTTCTGTAGAATCTGCAAGTGGATATTTGGACTTCTCTGAGGATTTCGTTGGAAACGGGATAAACTTCCCAGAACTACACGGAAGCATTCTGAGAAACTTCTTTGTGATGTTTGCATTCAACTCACAGAGTTGAACCTTGCTTTCATAGTTCAGCTTTCAAACCCTCTTTTTGTAGAATCTGCAAGTGGATATTTGGACCACTTTGTGGCCTTCCTTCGAAACGGGTATATCTTCACATCAAACCTAGACAGAAGCATTCTCAGAATGTTTCCTGTGATGACTGCATTCAACTCACAGAGGTGAACAATCCTGCTGATGGAGCAGTTTTGAAACTCTCTTTCTTTGGATTCTGCAAGTGGATATGTGGACCTCTGTGAAGATTTCGTTGGAAACGGGTTCATCTTCACAGAAAAACTAAACAGAAGCATTCTCAGAAACTGCTTTGTGATGTTTGTGTTCCACTTCAAGAATTGAACTTTCCTCTTGACAGAGCAGCTCTGAAACCCTCTTTTTCTAGAATCTGCAAGTGGACATTTGGAGGGGTTTGAGGCCTGTGGTGGAAAAGGAAAATCTTCACATAAAAACTAGATGGAAGCATTCTCAGAAACTACTTTGTGATGATTGCATTTGACTCACAGAGTTGAACATTCCTATAGATAGAGCAGGTTGTAAACAATCTTTTTGTAGAATCTGCGATTGGAGATTTGGACTGCTTTGAGGTCTACTGTAGTAAAGGAAATAACTTCATCTAAAAACCAAACGGAAGCATTCACAGACAATTCTTAGTGATCATTGGATTGAACTAACAGAGCTGAACATTCCTTTAGATGGAGCAGTTTCCAAACACACTTTCTGTAGAATCTGCAAGTGGATATTTGGACTTCTCTGAGGATTTCGTTGGAAACGGGATAAACTTCCCAGAACTACAGGGAAGCATTCTGAGAAACTTCTTTGTGATGTTTGCATTCAACTCACAGAGTTGAACCTTGCTTTCATAGTTCAGCTTTCAAACACTCTTTTTGTAGAATCTGCAAGTGGATATTTGGACCACTTTGTGGCCTTCCTTCGAAACGGGTATATCTTCACATCAAACCTAGACAGAAGCATTCTCAGAATGTTTCCTGTGATGACTCCATTCAACTCACAGAGGTGAACAATCCTGCTGATGGAGCAGTTTTGAAACTCTCTTTCTTTGGATTCTGCAAGTGGATATGTGGACCTCTGTGAAGATTTCGTTGGAAACGGGTTCATCTTCACAGAAAAATTAAACAGAAGCATTCTCAGAAACTGCTTTGTGATGTTTGTGTTCCACTTCAGGAATTGAACTTTCCTCTTGACAGAGCAGCTCTAAAACCCTCTTATTCTAGAATCTGCAAGTGGACATTTGGAGGGCTTTGAGGCCTGTGGTGGAAAAGGAAAATCTTCACATAAAAACTAGATGGAAGCATTCTCAGAAACTACTTTGTGATGATTGCATTCGACTCACAGAGTTGAACATTCCTATAGATAGAGCAGGTTGTAAACAATCTTTTTGTAGAATCTGCGATTGGAGATTTGGACTGCTTTGAGGCCTACTGTAGTAAAGGAAATAACTTCATCTAAAAACCAAACGGAAGCATTCACAGACAATTCTTAGTGATCATTGGATTGAACTAACAGAGCTGAACATTCCTTTAGATGGAGCAGTTTCCAAACACACTTTCTGTAGAATCTGTAAGTGGATATTTGGACCTCTCTGAGGATTTTGTTGGAAACGGGATAAACTTCCCAGAACTACACGGAAGCATTGTGAGAAACTTCTTTGTGATGTTTGCATTCAACTCACAGAGTTGTACCTTGCTTTCATAGTTCAGCTTTCAAACACTCTTTTTGTAGAATCTGCAAGTGGATATTTGGACCACTTTGTGGCCTTCCTTCGAAACGGGTATATCTTCACATCAAACCTAGACAGAAGCATTCTCAGAATGTTTCCTGTGATGACTGCATTCAACTCACAGAGGTGAACAATCCTGCTGTTGGAGCAGTTTTGAAACTCTCTTTCTTTGGATTCTGCAAGTGGATATGTGAACCTCTGTGAAGATTTCGTTGGAAACGGGTTCATCTTCACAGAAAAACTAAACAGGAGCATTCTCAGAAACTGCTTTGTGATGTTTGTGTTCCACTTCAAGAATTGAACTTTCCTCTTGACAGAGCAGCTCTGAAACCCTCTTTTTCTAGAATCTGCAAGTGGACATTTGGAGGGCTTTGAGGCCTGTGGTGGAAAAGGAAAATCTTCACATAAAAACTAGATGGAAGCATTCTCAGAAACTACTTTGTGATGATTGCATTCGACTCACAGAGTTGAACATTCCTATACATAGAGCAGGTTGTAAACAATCTTTTTGTAGAATCTGCGATTGGAGATTTGGACTGCTTTGAGGCCTACTGTAGTAAAGGAAATAACTTCATCTAAAAACCAAACGGAAGCATTCACAGACAATTCTTAGTGATCATTGCATTGAACTAACAGAGCTGAACATTCCTTTAGATGGAGCATTTTCCAAACACACTTTCTGTAGAATCTGCAAGTGGATATTTGGACTTCTCTGAGGATTTCGTTGGAAACGGGATAAACTTCCCAGAACTACACGGAAGCATTGTGAGAAACTTCTTTGTGATGTTTGCATTCAACTCACAGAGTTGAACCTTGCTTTCATAGTTCAGCTTTCAAACACTCTTTTTGTAGAATCTGCAAGTGGATATTTGGACCACTTTGTGGCCTTCCTTCGAAACGGGTATATCTTCACATCAAACCTAGACAGAAGCATTCTCAGAATGTTTCCTGTGATGACTGCATTCAACTCACAGAGGTGAACAATCCTGCTGATGGAGCAGTTTTGAAACTCTCTTTCTTTGGATTCTGCAAGTGGATATTTGGACCTCTGTGAAGATTTCGTTGGAAACGGGTTCATCTTCACAGAAAAACTAAACAGAAGCATTCTCAGAAACTGCTTTGTGATGTTTGTGTTCCACTTCAGGAATTGAACTTTCCTCTTGACAGAGCAGCTCTAAAACCCTCTTATTCTAGAATCTGCAAGTGGACATTTGGAGGGCTTTGAGGCCTGTGGTGGAAAAGGAAAATCTTCACATAAAAACTAGATGGAAGCATTCTCAGAAACTACTTTGTGATGATTGCATTCGACTCACAGAGTTGAACATTCCTATAGATAGAGCAGGTTGTAAACAATCTTTTTGTAGAATCTGCGATTGGAGATTTGGACTGCTTTGAGGCCTACTGTAGTAAAGGAAATAACTTCATCTAAAAACCAAACGGAAGCATTCACAGACAATTCTTAGTGATCATTGGATTGAACTAACAGAGCTGAACATTCCTTTAGATGGAGCAGTTTCCAAACCCACTTTCTGTAGAATCTGCAAGTGGATATTTGGACTTCTCTGAGGATTTCGTTGGAAACGGGATAAACTTCCCAGAACTACACGGAAGCATTCTGAGAAACTTCTTTGTGATGTTTGCATTCAACTCACAGAGTTGAACCTTGCTTTCATAATTCAGCTTTCAAACACTCTTTTTGTAGAATCTGCAAGTGGATATTTGGACCACTTTGTGGCCTTCCTTCGAAACGGGTATATCTTCACATCAAACCTAGACAGAAGCATTCTCAGAATGTTTCCTGTGATGACTGCATTCAACTCACAGAGGTGAACAATCCTGTTGATGGAGCACTTTTGAAACTCTCTTTCTTTGGATTCTGCAAGTTGATATGAGGACCTCTGTGAAGATTTCGTTGGAAACGGGTTCATCTTCACAGAAAAACTAAACAGAAGCATTCTCAGAAACTGCTTTGTGATGTTTGTGTTCCACTTCAGGAATTGAACTTTCCTCTTGACAGAGCAGCTCTGAAACCCTCTTTTTCTAGAATCTGCAAGTGGACATTTGGAGGGATTTGAGGCCTGTGGTGGAAAAGGAAAATCTTCACATAAAAACTAGATGGAAGCATTCTCAGAAACTGCTTTGTGATGATTGCATTCGACTCACAGAGTTGAACATTCCTATAGATAGAGCAGGTTGTAAACAATCTTTTTGTAGAATCTGCGATTGGAGATTTGGACTGCTTTGAGGCCTACTGTAGTAAAGGAAATAACTTCATCTAAAAACCAAACGGAAGCATTCACAGACAATTCTTAGTGATCATTGGAGTGAACTAACAGAGCTGAACATTCCTTTAGATGGCGCAGTTTCCAAACCCACTTTTTGTAGAATCTGCAAGTGGATATTTGGACCTCTCTGAGGATTTCGATGGAAACGGGATAAACTTCCCAGAACTACACGGAAGGATTCTGAGAAACTTCTTTGTGATGTTTGCATTCAACTCACAGAGTTGAACCTTGCTTTCATAGTTCAGCTTTCAAACACTCTTTTTGTAGAATCTGCAAGTGGATATTTGGACCACTTTGTGGCCTTCCTTCGAAACGGGTATATCTTCACATCAAACCTAGACAGAAGCATTCTCAGAATGTTTCCTGTGATGACTGCATTCAACTCACAGAGGTGAACAATCCTGCTGATGGAGCAGTTTTGAAACTCTCTTTCTTTGGATTCTGCAAGTGGATATGTGGACCTCTGTGAAGATTTCGTTGGAAACGGGTTCATCTTCACAGAAAAACTAAACAGAAGCATTCTCAGAAACTACTTTGTGATGTTTGTGTTCCACTTCAAGAATTGAACTTTCCTCTTGACAGAGCAGCTCTGAAACCCTCTTTTTCTAGAATCTGCAAGTGGACATTTGGAGGGCTTTGAGGCCTGTGGTGGAAAAGGAAAATCTTCACATAAAAACTAGATGGAAGCATTCTCAGAAACTACTTTGTGATGATTGCATTCGACTCACAGAGTTGAACATTCCTATAGATAGAGCAGGTTGTAAACAATGTTTTTGTAGAATCTGCGATTGGAGATTTGGACTGCTTTGAGGCCTACTGTAGTAAAGGAAATAACTTCATCTAAAAACCAAACGGAAGCATTCACAGACAATTCTTAGTGATCATTGCATTGAACTAACAGAGCTGAACATTCTTTTAGATGGAGCAGTTTCCAAACACACTTTCTGTAGAATCTGCAAGTGGATATTTGGACTTCTCTGAGGATTTCGTTGGAAACGGGATAAACTTCCCAGAACTACACGGAAGCATTCTGAGAAACTTCTTTGTGATGTTTGCATTCAACTCACAGAGTTGAACCTTGCTTTCATAGTTCAGCTTTCAAACACTCTTTTTGTAGAATCTGCAAGTGGATATTTGGACCACTTTGTGGCCTTCCTTCGAAACGGGTATATCTTCACATCAAACCTAGACAGAAGCATTCTCAGAATGTTTCCTGTGATGACTGCATTCAACTCACAGAGGTGAACAATCCTGCTGATGGAGCAGTGTTGAAACTCTCTTTCTTTGGATTCTGCAAGTGGATATGTGGACCTCTGTGAAGATTTCGTTGGAAACGGGTTCCTCTTCACAGAAAAACTAAACAGGAGCATTCTCAGAAACTGCTTTGTGATGTTTGTGTTCCACTTCAGGAATTGAACTTTCCTCTTGATAGAGCAGCTCTGAAACCCTCTTTTTCTAGAATCTGCAAGTGGACATTTGGAGGGCTTTGAGGCCTGTGGTGGAAAAGGAAAATCTTCACATAAAAACTAGATGGAAGCATTCTCAGAAACTACTTTGTGATGATTGCATTCGACTCACAGAGTTGAACATTCCTATAGATAGAGCAGGTTGTAAACAATCTTTTTGTAGAATCTGCGATTGGAGATTTGGACTGCTTTGAGGCCTACTGTAGTAAAGGAAATAACTTCATCTAAAAACCAAACGGAAGCATTCACAGAAAATTCATAGTGATCATTGGATTGAACTAACAGAGCTGAACATTCCTTTAGATGGAGCAGTTTCCAAACCCACTTTCTGTAGAATCTGCAAGTGGATATTTGGACTTCTCTGAGGATTTCGTTGGAAACGGGATATGCTTCCCAGAAATACAGGGAAGCATTCTGAGAAACTTCTTTGTGATGTTTGCATTCAACTCACAGAGTTGAACCTTGCTTTCATAGTTCAGCTTTCAAACACTCTTTTTGTAGAATCTGCAAGTGGATATTTGGACCACTTTGTGGCCTTCCTTCGAAACGGGTATATCTTCACATCAAACCTAGACAGAAGCATTCTCAGAATGTTTCCTGTGATGACTGCATTCAACTCACAGAGGTGAACAATCCTGCTGATGGAGCAGTTTTGAAACTCTCTTTCTTTGGATTCCGCAAGTGGATATGTGGACCTCTGTGAAGATTTCGTTGGAAACGGGTTCATCTTCACAGAAAAACTAAACAGGAGCATTCTCAGAAACTGCTTTGTGATGTTTGTGTTCCACTTCAGGAATTGAACTTTCCTCTTGACAGAGCAGCTCTGAAACCCTCTTTTTCTAGAATCTGCAAGTGGACATTTGGAAGGCTTTGAGGCCTGTGGTGGAAAAGGAAAATCTTCACATAAAAACCAGATGGAAGCATTCTCAGAAACTACTTTGTGATGATTGCATTCGACTCACAGAGTTGAACATTCCTATAGATAGAGCAGGTTGTAAACAATCTTTTTGTAGAATCTGCGATTGGAGATTTGGACTGCTTTGAGGCCTACTGTAGTAAAGGAAATAACTTCATCTAAAAACCAAACGGAAGCATTCACAGACAATTCTTAGTGATCATTGCATTGAACTAACAGAGCTGAACATTCCTTTAGATGGCGCAGTTTCCAAACACACTTTCTGTAGAATCTGCAAGTGGATATTTGGACTTCTCTGAGGATTTCGTTGGAAACGGGATAAACTTCCCAGAACTACACGGAAGCATTCTGAGAAACTTCTTTGTGATGTTTGCATTCCACTCACAGAGTTGAACCTTGCTTTCATAGTTCAGCTTTCAAACACTCTTTATGTAGAATCTGCAAGTGGATATTTGGACCACTTTGTGGCCTTCCTTCGAAACGGGTATATCTTCACATCAAACCTAGACAGAAGCATTCTCAGAATGTTTCCTGTGATGACTGCATTCAACTCACAGATGTGAACAATCCTGTTGATGGAGCAGTTTTGAAACTCTCTTTCTTTGGATTCTGCAAGTGGATATGTGGACCTCTGTGAAGATTTCGTTGGAAACGGGTTCATCTTCACAGAAAAACTAAACAGGAGCATTCTCAGAAACTACTTTGTGATGTTTGTGTTCCACTTCAAGAATTGAACTTTCCTCTTGACAGAGCAGCTCTGAAACCCTCTTTTTCTAGAATCTGCAAGTGGACATTTGGAGGGCTTTGAGGCCTGTGGTGGAAAAGGAAAATCTTCACATAAAAACTAGATGGAAGCATTCTCAGAAACTACTTTGTGATGATTGCATTCAACTCACAGAGTTGAACATAACTATAGATAGAGCAGGTTGTAAACAGTCTTTTTGTAGAATCTGTGATTGGAGATTTGGACTGCTTTGAGGCCTACTGTAGTAAAGGAAATAACTTCATCTAAAAACCAAACGGAAGCATTCACAGACAATTCTTAGTGATCATTGCATTGAACTAACAGAGCCGAACATTCCTTTAGATGGAGCAGTTTCCAAACACACTTTCTGTAGAATCTGCAAGTGGATATTTGGACTTGTCTGAGGATTTCGTTGGAAACGGGATAAACTTCCCAGAACTACACGGAAGCATTGTGAGAAACTTCTTTGTGATGTTTGCATTCAACTCACAGAGTTGAACCTTGCTTTCATAGTTCAGCTTTCAAACACTCTTTTTGTAGAATCTGCAAGTGGATATTTGGACCACTTTGTGGCCTTCCTTTGAAAAGGGTATATCTTCACATCAAACCTAGACAGAAGAATTCTCAGAATGTTTCCTGTGATGACTGCATTCAACTCACAGAGGTGAACAATCCTGTTGATGGAGCAGTTTTGAAACTCTCTTTCTTTGGATTCTGCAAGTGGATATGTGGACCTCTGTGAAGATTTGGTTGGAAACGGGTTCATCTTCCCAGAAAAACTAAAAAGAAGCATTCTCAGAAACTGCTTTGTGATGTTTGTGTTCCACTTCAGGAATTGAACTTTCCTCTTGACAGAGCAGCTCTGAAACCCTCTTATTCTAGAATCTGCAAGTGGACATTTGAAGGGCTTTGAGGCCTGTGGTGGAAAAGGAAAATCTTCACATAAAAACTAGATGGAAGCATTCTCAGAAACTACTTTGTGATGATTGCATTCGACTCACAGAGTTGAACATTCCTATAGATAGAGCAGGTTGTAAACAATCTTTTGTAGAATCTGCGATTGGAGATTTGGACTGCTTTGAGGCCTACTGTAGTAAAGGAAATAACTTCATCTAAAAACCAAACGGAAGCATTCACAGACAATTCTTAGTGATCATTGGATTGTTCTAACACAGCTGAACATTCCTTTAGATGGAGCAGTTTCTAAACACACTTTCTGTAGAATCTGCAAGTGGATATTTGGACCTCTCTGAGGATTTCGTTGGAAACGGTCTAAACTTCCCAGAACTACACGGAAGCATTGTGAGAAACTTCTTTGTGATGTTTGCATTCAACTCACAGAGTTGAACCTTGCTTTCATAGTTCAGCTTTCAAACACTCTTTTTGTAGAATCTGCAAGTGGATATTTGGAACACTTTGTGGCCTTCCTTCGAAACGGGTATATCTTCACATCAAACCTAGACAGAAGCATTCTCAGAATGTTTCCTGTGATGACTGCATTCAACTCACAGAGGTGAACAATCCTGCTGATGGAGCAGTTTTGAAACTCTCTTTCTTTGGATTCTGCAAGTGGATATGTGGACCTCTGTGAAGATTTCGTTGGAAACGGGTTCATCTTCACAGAAAAACTAAACAGGAACATTCTCAGAAACTGCTTTGTGATGTTTGTGTTCCACTTCAAGAATTGAACTTTCCTCTTGACAGAGCAGCTCTGAAACCCTCTTTTTCTAGAATCTGCAAGTGGACATTTGGAGGGCTTTGAGGCCTGTGGTGGAAAAGGAAAATCTTCACATAAAAACTAGATGGAAGCATTCTCAGAAACTACTTTGTGATGATTGCATTCGACTCACAGAGTTGAACATTCCTATAGATAGAGCAGGTTGTAAACAATCTTTTTCAAGAATCTGCGATTGGAGATTTGGACTGCTTTGAGGCCTACTGTAGTAAAGGAAATAACTTCATCTAAAACCAAACGGAAGCATTCACAGACAATTCTTAGTGATCATTGGATTGAACTAACAGAGCTGAACATTCCTTTAGATGGAGCAGTTTCCAAACACACTTTCTGTAGAATCTGCAAGTGGATATTTGGACCTCTCTGAGGATTTCTTTGGAAACGGGATAAACTTCCCAGAACTACACGGAAGCATTCTGAGAAACTTCTTTGTGATGTTTGCATTCAACTCACAGAGTTGAACCTTGCTTTCATAGTTCAGCTTTCAAACACTCTTTTTGTAGAATCTGCAAGTGGATATTTGGACCACTTTGTGGCCTTCCTTCGAAACGGGTATATCTTCACATCAAACCTAGACAGAAGCATTCTCAGAATGTTTCCTCTGATGACTGCATTCAACTCACAGAGGTGAACAATCCTGCTGATGGAGCAGTTTTGAAACTCTCTTTCTTTGGATTCTGCAAGTGGATATGTGGACCTCTGTGAAGATTTCGTTGGAAACGGGTTCATCTTCACAGAAAAACTAAACAGAAGCATTCTCAGAAACTGCTTTGTGATGTTTGTGTTCCACTTCAAGAATTGAACTTTCCTCTTGACAGAGCAGCTCTGAAACCCTCTTTTTCTAGAATCTGCAAGTGGACATTTGGAGGGCTTTGAGGCCTGTGGTGGAAATGGAAAATCTTCACATAAAAACTAGATGGAAGCATTCTCAGAAACTACTTTGTGATGATTGCATTCGACTCACAGAGTTGAACATTCCTATACATAGAGCAGGTTGTAAACAATCTTTTTGTAGAATCTGCGATTGGAGATTTGGACTGCTTTGAGGCCTACTGTAGTAAAGGAAATAACTTCATCTAAAAACCAAACGGAAGCATTCACAGACAATTCTTAGTGATCATTGCATTGAACTAACAGAGCTGAACATTCCTTTAGATGGCGCAGTTTCCAAACACACTTTCTGTAGAATCTGCAAGTGGATATTTGGACTTCTCTGAGGATTTCGTTGGAAACGGGATAAACTTCCCAGAACTACACGGAAGCATTCTGAGAAACTTCTTTGTGATGTTTGCATTCAACTCACAGAGTTGAACCTTGCTTTCATAGTTCAGCTTTCAAACACTCTTTTTGTAGAATCTGCAAGTGGATATTTGGACCACTTTGTGGCCTTCCTTCGAAACGGGTATATCTTCACATCAAACCTAGACAGAAGCATTCTCAGAATGTTTTCCTGTGATGACTGCATTCAACTCACAGAGGTGAACAATCCTGCTGATGGAGCAGTTTTGAAACTCTCTTTCTTTGGATTCTGCAAGTGGATATGTGGACCTCTGTGAAGATTTCGTTGGAAACGGGTTCATCTTCACAGAAAAACTAAACAGGAGCATTCTCAGAAACTACTTTGTGATGTTTGTGTTCCACTTCAAGAATTGAACTTTCCTCTTGACAGAGCAGCTCTGAAACCCTCTTTTTCTAGAATCTGCAAGTGGACATTTGGAGGGCTTTGAGGCCTGTGGTGGAAAAGGAAAATCTTCACATAAAAACTAGATGGAAGCATTCTCAGAAACTACTTTGTGATGATTGCATTCGACTCACAGAGTTGAACATTCCTATAGTTAGAGCAGGTTGTAAACAATCTTTTTGTAGAATCTGCGATTGGAGATTTGGACTGCTTTGAGTCCTACTGTAGTAAATGAAATAACTTCATCTAAAAACCAAACGGAAGCATTCACAGACAATTCTTAGTGATCATTGGATTGAACTAACAGAGCTGAACATTCCTTTAGATGGAGCAGTTTCCAAACACACTTTCTGTAGAATCTGCAAGTGGATATTTGGACCTCTCTGAGGATTTCGTTGGAAACGGGATAAACTTCCCAGAACTACACAGAAGCATTCTGAGAAACTTCTTTGTGATGTTTGCATTCAACTCACAGAGTTGAATCTTGCTTTCATAGTTCAGCTTTCAAACACTCTTTTTGTAGAATCTGCAAGTGAATATTTGGACCACTTTTTGGCCTTCCTTCGAAACGGGTATATCTTCGCATCAAACCTAGACAGAAACATTCTCAGAATGTTTCCTGAGATGACTGCATTCAACTCACAGAGGGGAACAATCCTGCTGATGGAGCAGTTTTGAAACTCTCTTTCTTTGGATTCTGCAAGTGGATATGTGGACCTCTGTGAAGATTTCGTTGGAAACGGGTTCATCTTCACAGAAAAACTAAACAGGAGCATTCTCAGAAACTGCTTTATGATGTTTGTGTTCCACTTCAAGAATTGAACTTTCTTCTTGACAGAGCAGCTCTGAAACCCTCTTTTTCTAGAATCTGCAAGTGGACATTGGGAGGGCTTTGAGGCCTGTGGTGGAAAAGGAAAATCTTCACATAAAAACTAGATGGAAGCACTCTCAGAAACTACTTTGTGATGATTGCATTCGACTCACAGAGTTGAACATTCCTATAGATAGAGCAGGTTGTAAACAATGTTTTTGTAGAATCTGCGATTGGAGATTTGGACTGCTTTGAGGCCTACTGTAGTAAAGGAAATACCTTCATCTAAAAACCAAACGGAAGCATTCACAGACAATTCTTAGTGATCATTGCATTGATCTAACAGAGCTGAACATTCCTTTAGATGGCGTAGTTTCCAAACACACTTTCTGTAGAATCTGCAAGTGGATATTTGGACCTCTCTGAGGATTTCGTTGGAAACGGGATAAACTTCCCAGAACTACACGGAAGCATTCTGAGAAACTTGCTTTGTGATGTTTGCATTCAACTCACCGAGTTGAACCTTGCTTTCCTAGTTCAGCTTTCAAACACTCTTTTTGTAGAATCTGCAAGTGGATATTTCGACCACTTTGTGGCCTTCCTTCGAAACGGGTATATCTTCACATCAAACCTAGACAGAAGCATTCTCAGAATGTTTCCTGTGATGACTGCATTCAACTCACAGAGGTGAACAATCCTGCTGATGGAGCAGTTTTGAAACTCTCTTTCTTTGGATTCTGCAAGTGGATATGTGGACCTCTGTGAAGATTTCGTTGGAAACGGGTTCATCTTCACAGAAAAACTAAACAGAAGCATTCTCAGAAACTGCTTTGTGATGTTTGTGTTCCACTTCAAGAATTGAACTTTCCTCTTGACAGAGCAGCTCTGAAACCCTCTTTTTCTAGAATCTGCAAGTGGACATTTGGAGGGCATTGAGGCCTGTGGTGGAAAAGGAAAATCTTCACATAAAAACTAGATGGAAGCATTCTCAGAAACTACTTTGTGATGATTGCATTCGACTCACAGAGTTGAACATTCCTATACATAGAGCAGGTTGTAAACAATCTTTTTGTAGAATCTGCGATTGGAGATTTGGACTGCTTTGAGGCCTACTGTAGTAAAGGAAATAACTTCATCTAAAAACCAAACGGAAGCATTCACAGATCATTCTTAGTGATCATTGCATTGAACTAACAGAGCTGAACATTCCTTTAGATGGCGCAGTTTCCAAACACACTTTCTGTAGAATCTGCAAGTGGATATTTGGACCTCTCTGAGGATTTCGATGGAAACGGGATAAACTTCCCAGAACTACACGGAAGCTTTCTGAGAAACTTCTTTGTGATGTTTGCATTCAACTCACAGAGTTGAACCTTGCTTTCATAGTTCAGCTTTCAAACACTCTTTTTGTAGAATCTGCAAGTGGATATTTGGACCACTTTGTGGCCTTCCTTCGAAACGGGTATATCTTCACATCAAACCTAGACAGAAGCATTCTCAGAATGTTTCCTGTGATGACTGCATTCAACTCACAGAGGTGAACAATCCTGCTGATGGAGCAGTTTTGAAACTCTCTTTCTTTGGATTCTGCAAGTGGATATGTGGACCTCTGTGAAGATTTCGTTGGAAACGGGTTCATCTTCACAGAAAAACTAAACAGAAGCATTCTCAGAAAATGCTTTGTGATGTTTGTGTTCCACTTCAAGAATTGAACTTTCCTCTTGACAGAGCAGCTCTGAAACCCTCTTTTTCTAGAATCTGCAAGTGGACATTTGGAGGGCTTTGAGGCCTGTGGTGGAAAAGGAAAATCTTCACATAAAAACTAGATGGAAGCATTCTCAGAAACTACTTTGTGATGATTGCATTCGACTCACAGAGTTGAACATTCCTATAGATAGAGCAGGTTGTAAACAATCTTTTTGTAGAATCTGCGATTGGAGATTTGGACTGCTTTGAGGCCTACTTGTAGTAAAGGCAATAACTTCATCTAAAAACCAAACGGAAGCATTCACAGACAATTCTTAGTGATCATTGGATTGAACTAACAGAGCTGAACATTCCTTTAGATGGCGCAGTTTCCAAACACACTTTCTGTAGAATCTGCAAGTGGATATTTGGACCTCTCTGAGGATTTCGTTGGAAACGGGATAAACTTCCCAGAACTACACGGAAGCATTCTGAGAAACTTCTTTGTGATGTTTGCATTCAACTCACAGAGTTGAACCTTGCTTTCATAGTTCAGCTTTCAAACACTCTTTTTGTAGAATCTGCAAGTGGATATTTGGACCACTTTCTGGCCTTCCTTCGAAACGGGTATATCTTCACATCAAACCTAGACAGAAGCATTCTCAGAATGTTTCCTGTGATGACTGCATTCAACTCACAGAGGTGAACAATCCTGTTGATGGAGCAGTTTTGAATCTCTCTTTCTTTGGATTCTGCAAGTGGATTTGTGGACCTCTGTGAAGATTTCGTTGGAAACGGGTTCATTTTCACAGAAAAACTAAACAGAATCATTCTCAGAAACTGCTTTGTGATGTTTGTGTTCCACTTCAAGAATTGAACTTTCCTCTTGACAGAGCAGCTCTGAAACCCTCTTTTTCTAGAATCTGCAAGTGGACATTTGGAGGGCTTTGAGGCCTGTGGTGGAAAAGGAAAATCTTCACATAAAAACTACATGGAAGCATTCTCAGAAACTACTTTGTGATGATTGCATTCGACTCACAGAGTTGAACATTCCTATAGATAGAGCAGGTTGTAAACAATCTTTTTGTAGAATCTGCGATTGGAGATTTGGACTGCTTTGAGGCCTACTGTAGTAAAGGAAATAACTTCATCTAAAAACCAAACGGAAGCATTCACAGACAATACTTAGTGATCATTGGATTGAACAAACAGAGCTGAACATTCCTTTAGATAGAGCAGTTTACAAACACACTTTCTGTAGAATCTGCAAGTGGATATTTGGATTTCTCTGAGGATTTCTTTGGAAACGGGATAAACTTCCCAGAACTACACGGAAGCATTCTGAGAAACTTCTTTGTGATGTTTGCATTCAACTCACAGAGTTGAACCTTGCTTTCATAGTTCAGCTTTCAAACACTCTTTTTGTAGAATCTGCAAGTGGATATTTGGACCACTTTGTGGCCTTCCTTCGAAACGGGTATATCTTCACATCAAACCTAGACAGAAGCATTCTCAGAATGTTTCCTGTGATGACTGCATTCAACTCACAGAGGTGAACAATCCTGCTGATGGAGCAGTTTTGAAACTCCCTTTCTTTGGATTCTGCAAGTGGATATGTGGACCTCTGTGAAGATTTCGTTGGAAACGAGTTCATCTTCACAGAAAAACTAAACAGAAGCATTCTCAGAAACTGCTTTGTGATGTTTGTGTTCCACTTCAGGAATTGAACTTTCCTCTTGACAGAGCAGCTCTGAAACCCTCTTATTCTAGAATCTGCAAGTGGACATTTGGAGGGCTTTGAGGCCTGTGGTGGAAAAGGAAAATCTTCACATAAAAACTAGATGGAAGCATTCTCAGAAACTACTTTGTGATGATTGCATTCGACTCACAGAGTTGAACATTCGTATAGATAGAGCAGGTTGTAAACAATCTTTTTGTAGAATCTGCGATTGGAGATTTGGACTGCTTTGAGGCCTACTGTAGTAAAGGAAATAACTTCATCTAAAAACCAAACGGAAGCATTCACAGACAATTCTTAGTGATCATTGCATTGAACTAACAGAGCTGAACATTCCTGTAGATGGCGCAGTTTCCAAACACACTTTCTGTAGAATCTGCAAGTGGATATTTGGACCTCTCTGAGGATTTCGTTGGAAACGGGATAAACTTCCCAGAACTACACGGAAGCATTGTGAGAAACTTCTTTGTGATGTTTTCATTCAACTCACATAGTTGAAACCTGCTTTCATAGTTCAGCTTTCAAACACTCTTTTTGTAGAATCTGCAAGTGGATATTTGGACCACTTTTTGGCCTTCCTTCGAAACGGGTATATCTTCACATCAAACCTAGACAGAAGCATTCTCAGAATGTTTCCTGTGATGACTGCATTCAACTCACAGAGGTGAACAATCCTGTTGATGGAGCAGTTTTGAAACTCTCTTTCTTTGGATTCTGCAAGTGGATATGTGGACCTCTGTGAAGATTTCGTTGGAAAAGGGTTCGTCTTCACAGAAAAACTAAACAGAAGCATTCTCAGAAACTGCTTTGTGATGTTTGTGTTCCACTTCAAGAATTGAACTTTCCTCTTGACAGAGCAGCTCTGAAACCCTCTTTTTCTAGAATCTGCAAGTGGACATTTGGAGGGCTTTGAGGCCTGTGGTGGAAAAGGAAAATCTTCACATAAAAACTAGATGGAAGCATTCTCAGAAACTACTTTGTGATGATTGCATTCGACTCACAGAGTTGAACATTCCTATAGATAGAGCAGGTTGTAAACAGTCTTTTTGTAGAATCTGCGATTGGAGATTTGGACTGCTTTGAGGCCTACTGTAGTAAAGGAAATAACTTCATCTAAAAACCAAACGGAAGCATTCACAGACAATTCTTAGTGATCATTGGATTGAACTAACAGAGCTGAACATTCCTTTAGATGGAGCAGTTTCCAAACACACTTTCTGTAGAATCTGCAAGTGGATATTTGGACTTCTCTGAGGATTTCGTTGGAAATGGGATAAACTTCCCAGAACTACACGGAAGCATTGTGAGAAACTTCTTTGTGATGTTTGCATTGAACTCACAGAGTTGAACCTTGCTTTCTTAGTTCAGCTTTCAAACACTCTTTTTGTAGAATCTGCAAGTGGATATTTGGACCACTTTGTGGCCTTCCTTCGAAACGGGTATATCTTCACATCAAACCTAGACAGAAGCATTCTCAGAATGTTTCCTGTGATGACTGCATTCAACTCACAGAGGTGAACAATCCTGTTGATGGAGCAGTTTTGAAACTCTCTTTCTTTGGATTCTGCAAGTGGATATGTGGACCTCTGTGAAGATTTCGTTGGAAACGGGTTCATCTTCACAGAAAAACTAAACAGAAGCATTCTCAGAAACTGCTTTGTGATGTTTGTGTTCCACTTCAGGAATTGAACTTTCCTCTTGACAGAGCAGCTCTGAAACCTTCTTTTTCTAGAATCTGCAAGTGGACATTTGGAGGGCTTTGAGGCCTGTGGTGGAAAAGGAAAATCTTCACATAAAAACTAGATGGAAGCATTCTCAGAAACTACTTTGTGATGATTGCATTCGACTCACAGAGTTGAACATTCCTATAGATAGAGCAGGTTGTAAACAATCTTTTTGTAGAATCTGCGATTGGAGATTTGGACTGCTTTGAGGCCTACTGTAGTAAAGGAAATAACTTCATCTAAAAACCAAACGGAAGCATTCACAGACAATTCTTAGTGATCATTGCATTGAACTAACACAGCTGAACATTCCTTTAGATGGCGCAGTTTCCAAACACACTTTCTGTAGAATCTGCAAGTGGATATTTGGACCTCTCTGAGGATTTCGTTGGAAACGGGATAAACTTCCCAGAACTACACGGAAGCATGCTGAGAAACTTCTTTTTGATGTTTGCATTCAACTCACAGAGTTGAACCTTGCTTTCATAGTTCAGCTTTCAAACACTCTTTTTGTAGAATCTGCAAGTGGATATTTGGACCACTTTGTGGCCTTCCTTCGAAACGGGTATATCTTCACATCAAACCTAGACAGAAGCATTCTCAGAATGTTTCCTGTGATGACTGCATTCAACTCACAGAGGTGAACAATCCTGCTGATGGAGCAGTTTTGAAACTCTCTTTCTTTGGATTCTGCAAGTGGATATGTGGACCTCTGTGAAGATTTCGTTGGAAACGGGTTCATCTTCACAGAAAAACTAAACAGAAGGATTCTCAGAAACTACTTTGTGATGTTTGTGTTCCACTTCAAGAATTGAACTTTCCTCTTGACAGAGCAGCTCTGAAACCCTCTTTTTCTAGAATCTGCAAGTGGACATTTGGAGGGCTTTGAGGCCTGTGGTGGAAAAGGAAAATCTTCACATAAAAACTAGATGGAAACATTCTCAGAAACTCCTTTGTGATGATTGCATTCGACTCACAGAGTTGAACATTCCTATAGATAGAGCAGGTTGTAAACAATCTTTTTGTAGAATCTGCGATTGGAGATTTGGACTGCTTTGAGGCCTACTGTAGTAATGGAAATAACTTCATCTAAAAACCAAACGGAAGCATTCACAGACAATTCTTAGTGATCATTGCATTGAACTAACAGAGCTGAACATTCCTTTAGATGGAGCAGTTTCCAAACACACTTTCTGTGAGAATCTGCAAGTGGATATTTGGACTTCTCTGAGGATTTCGTTGGAAACGGGATAAACTTCCCAGAACTACACGGAAGCATGCTGAGAAACTTCTTTGTGATGTTTGCATTCAACTCACAGAGTTGAATCTTGCTTTCATAGTTCAGCTTTCAAACACTCTTTTTGTAGAATCTGCAAGTGGATATTTGGACCACTTTGTGGCCTTCCTTCGAAACGGGTATATCTTCACATCAAACCTAGACAGAAGCATTCTCAGAATGTTTCCTGTGATGACTGCATTCAACTCACAGAGGTGAACAATCCTGCTGATGGAGCAGTTTTGAAACTCTCTTTCTTTGGATTCTGCAAGTGGATATGTGGACCTCTGTGAAGATTTCGTTGGAAACGGGTTCATCTTCACAGAAAAACTAAACAGGAGCATTCTCAGAAACTGCTTTGTGATGTTTGTGTTCCACTTCAGGAATTGAACTTTCCTCTTGACAGAGCAGCTCTGAAACCCTCTTTTTCTAGAATCTGCAAGTGGACATTTGGAGGGCTTTGAGGCCTGTGGTGGAAAAAGAAAATCTTCACATAAAAACTAGATGGAATCATTCTCAGAAACTACTTTGTGATGATTGCATTCGACTCACAGAGTTGAACATTCCTATAGATAGAGCAGGTTGTAAACAATCTTTTTGTAGAATCTGCGATTGGAGATTTGGACTGCTTTGAGGCCTACTGAAGTAAAGGAAATAACTTCATCTAAAAACCAAACGGAAGCATTCACAGAGAATTCTTAGTGATCATTGGATTGAACTAACAGAGCTGAACATTCCTTTAGATGGAGCATATTCCAAACACACTTTCTGTAGAATCTGCAACTGGATATTTGGACCTCTCTGAGGATTTCGTTGGAAACGGGATAAATTCCCAGAACTACACGGAAGCATTCTGAGAAACTTCTTTGTGATGTTTGCATTCAACTCACAGAGTTGAATCTTGCTTTCATAGTTCAGCTTTCAAACACTCTTTTTGTAGAATCTGCAAGTGAATATTTGGACCACTTTTTGGCCTTCCTTCGAAACGGGTATATCTTCGCATCAAACCTAGACAGAAACATTCTCAGAATGTTTCCTGAGATGACTGCATTCAACTCACAGAGGGGAACAATCCTGCTGATGGAGCAGTTTTGAAACTCTCTTTCTTTGGATTCTGCAAGTGGATATGTGGACCTCTGTGAAGATTTCGTTGGAAACGGGTTCATCTTCACAGAAAAACTAAACAGGAACATTCTCAGAAACTGCTTTGTGATGTTTGTGTTCCACTTCAAGAATTGAACTTTCCTCTTGACAGAGCAGCTCTGAAACCCTCTTTTTCTAGAATCTGCAAGTGGACATTTGGAGGGCTTTGAGGCCTGTGGTGGAAAAGGAAAATCTTCACATAAAAACTAGATGGAAGCATTCTCAGAAACTACTTTGTGATGATTGCATTCGACTCACAGAGTTGAACATTCCTATAGATAGAGCAGGTTGTAAACAATCTTTTTGTAGAATCTGAGATTGAAGATTTGGACTGCTTTGAGGCCTACTGTAGTAAAGGAAATAACTTCATCTAAAAACCAAACGGAAGCATTCACAGACAATTCTTAGTGATCATTGGATTGAACTAACAGAGCTGAACATTCCTTTAGATGGAGCAGTTTCCAAACACACTTTCTGTAGAATCTGCAAGTGGATATTTGGACCTCTCTGAGGATTTCGTTGGAAACGGGATAAACTTCCCAGAACTACACGGAAGCATGCTGAGAAACTTCTTTGTGATGTTTGCATTCAACTCACAGAGTTGAACCTTGCTTTCATAGTTCAGCTTTCAAACACTCTTTTTGTAGAATCTGCAACTGGATATTTGGACCACTTTGTGGCCTTCCTTCGAAACGGGTATATCTTCACATCAAACCTAGACAGAAGCATTCTCAGAATGTTTCCTGTGATGACTGCATTCAACTCACAGAGGTGAACAATCCTGCTGATGGAGCAGTTTTGAAACTCCCTTTCTTTGGATTCTGCAAGTGGATATGTGGACCTCTGTGAAGATTTCGTTGGAAACGGGTTCATCTTCACAGAAAAACTAAACAGAAGCATTCTCAGAAACTGCTTTGTGATGTTTGTGTTCCACTTCAGGAATTGAACTTTCCTCTTGACAGAGCAGCTCTGAAACCCTCTTATTCTAGAATCTGCAAGTGGACATTTGGAGGGCTTTGAGGCCTGTGGTGGAAAAGGAAAATCTTCACATAAAAACTAGATGGAAGCATTCTCAGAAATTACTTTGTGATGATTGCATTCGACTCACATAGTTGAACATTCCTATAGATAGAGCAGGTTGTAAACAATCTTTTTGCAGAATCTGCGATTGGAGATTTGCACTGCTTTGAGCCCTACTGTAGTAAAGGAAATAACTTGATCTAAAAACCAAACGGAAGCATTCACAGACAATTCTTAGTGATCATTGGATTGAACTAACAGAGCTGAACATTCCTTTAGATGGAGCAGTTTCCAAACACACTTTCTGTAGAATCTGCAAGTGGATATTTGGACTTCTCTGAGGATTTCGTTGGAAACGGGATAAACTTCCCAGAACTACACGGAAGCATTGTGAGAAACTTCTTTGTGATGTTTGCATTCAACTCACAGAGTTGAACCTTGCTTTCATAGTTCAGCTTTCAAACACTCTTTTTGTAGAATCTGCAAGTGGATATTTGGACCACTTTGTGGCCTTCCTTTGAAAAGGGTATATCTTCACATCAAACCTAGACAGAAGCATTCTCAGAATGTTTCCTGTAATGACTGCATTCAACTCACAGAGGTGAACAATCCTGTTGATGGGGCACTTTTGAAACTCTCTTTCTTTGGATTCTGCATGTTGATATGTGGACCTCTGTGAAGATTTCGTTGGAAACGGGTTCATCTTCACAGAAAAACTAAACAGAAGCATTCTCAGAAACTACTTTGTGATGTTTGTGTTCCACTTCAACAATTCAACTTTCCTCTTGACAGAGCAGCTCTGAAACCCTCTTTTTCTAGAATCTGCAAGTGGACATTTGGAGGGCTTTGACGCCTGTGGTGGAAAAGGAAAATCTTCACATAAAAACTAGATGGAAGCATTCTCAGAAACTACTTTGTGATGATTGCATTCGACTCACAGAGTTGAACATTCCTATAGATAGAGCAGGTTGTAAACAATCTTTTTGTAGAATCTGCGATTGGAGATTTGGACTGCTTTGAGGCCTACTGTAGTAAAGGAAATAACTTCATCTAAAAACCAAACGGAAGCATTCACAGACAATTCTTAGTGATCATTGCATTGAACTAACAGAGCTGAACATTCCTTTAGATGGCGCAGTTTCCAAACACACTTTCTGTAGAATCTGCAAGTGGATATTTGGACTTCTCTGAGGATTTCGTTGGAAAAGGGATAAAATTCCCAGAACTACACGGAAGCATTCTGAGAAACTTCTTTGTGATGTTTGCATTCAACTCACAGAGTTGAACCTTCCTTTCATAGTTCAGCTTTCAAACACTCTTTTTGTAGAATCTGCAAGTGGATATTTGGACCACTTTGTGGCCTTCCTTCGAAACGGGTATATCTTCACATCAAACCTAGAGAGAAGCATTCTCAGAATGTTTCCTGTGATGACTGCATTCAACTCACAGAGGTGAACAATCCTGCTGATGGAGCAGTTTTGAAACTCTCTTTCTTTGGATTCTGCAAGTGGATATGTGGACCTCTGTGAAGATTTCGTTGGAAACGGGTTCATCTTCACAGAAAAACTAAACAGAAGCATTCTCAGAAACTGTTTTGTGATGTTTGTGTTCCACTTCAAGAATTGAACTTTCCTCTTGACAGAGCAGCTCTGAAACCCTCTTTTTCTAGAATCTGCAAGTGGACATTTGGAGGGCTTTGAGGCCTGTGGTGGAAAAGGAAAATCTTCACATAAAAACTAGATGGAAGCATTCTCAGAAACTACTTTGTGATGATTGCATTCGACTCACAGAGTTGAACATTCCTATAGATAGAGCAGGTTGTAAACAATCTTTTTGTAGAATCTGCGATTGGAGATTTGGACTGCTTTGAGGCATACTGTAGTAAAGGAAATAACTTCATCTAAAAACCAAACGGAAGCATTCACAGACAATTCTTTGTGATCATTGCATTGAACTAACAGAGCTGAACATTCCTTTAGATGGAGCAGTTTCCAAACACACTTTCTGTAGAATCCGCAAGTGGATATTTGGACCTCTCTGAGGATTTCGTTGGAAACGGGATAAACTTCCCAGAAATACACGGAAGCATTCTGAGAAACTTCTTTGTGATGTTTGCATTCAACTCACAGAGTTGAACCTTGCTTTCATAGTTCAGCTTTCAAATACTCTTTTTGTAGAATCTGCAAGTGGATATTTGGACCACTTTGTGGCCTTCCTTCGAAACGGGTATATCTTCACATCAAACCTAGACAGAAGCATTCTCAGAATGTTTCATGTGATGACTGCATTCAACTCACAGAGGTGAACAATCCTGTTGATGGAGCACTTTTGAATCTCTCTTTCTTTGGATTCTGCAAGTGGATATGTGGACCTCTGTGAAGATTTCGTTGGAAACGGGTTCATTTTCACAGAAAAACTAAACAGAAGCATTCCCAGAAACTGCTTTGTGATGTTTCTGTTCCACTTCAAGAATTGAACTTTCCTCTTGACAGAGCAGCTCTGAAACCCTCTTTTTCTAGAATCTGCAAGTGGACATTTGGAGGGCTTTGAGGCCTGTGGTGGAAAAGGAAAATCTTCACATAAAAACTAGATGGAAGCATTCTAAGAAACTACTTTGTGATGATTGCATTCGACTCACAGAGTTGAACATTCCTATAGATAGAGCAGGTTGTAAACAATCTTTTTGTAGAATCTGCGATTGGAGATTTGGACTGCTTTGAGGCCTACTGTAGTAAAGGAAATAACTTCATCTAAAAATCAAACGGAAGCATTCACAGACAATTCTTAGTGATCATTGCATTGAACTAACAGAGCTGAACATTGCTTTAGATGGCGCAGTTTCCAAACCCACTTTCTGTAGAATCTGCAAGTGGATATTTGGACCTCTCTGAGGATTTCGTTGGAAACGGGATAAACTTCCCAGAACTACACGGAAGTATTCTGAGAAACTTCTTTGTGATGTTTGCATTCAACTCACAGAGTTGAACCTTGCTTTCATAGTTCAGCTTTCAAACACTCTTTTTGTAGAATCTGCAAGTGGATATTTGGACCACTTTGTGGCCTTCCTTCCAAACGGGTATATCTTCACATCAAACCTAGACAGAAGCATTCTCAGAATGTTTCCTGTGATGACTGCATTCAACTCATAGAGATGAACAATCCTGTTGATGGAGCAGTTTTGAAACTCTCTTTCTTTGCATTCTGCAAGTGGATATGTGGACCTCTGTGAAGATTTCGTTGGAAACGGGTTCATCTTCACAGAAAAATTAAACAGAAGCATTCTCAGAAACTGCTTTGTGATGTTTGTGTTCCACTTCAAGAATTGAACTTTCCTCTTGACAGAGCAGCTCTGAAACCCTCTTTTTCTAGAATCTGCAAGTGGACATTTGGAGGGCTTTGAGGCCTGTGGTGGAAAAGGAAAATCTTCCCATAAAAACTAGATGGAAGCATTCTCAGAAACTACTTTGTGATGATTGCATTCGACTCACAGAGTTGAACATTCCTATAGATAGAGCAGGTTGTAAACAATCTTTTTGTAGAATCTGCGATTGGAGATTTGGACTGCTTTGAGGCCTACTGTAGTAAAGGAAATAACTTCATCTAAAAACCAAACGGAAGCATTCACAGACAATTCTTAGTGATCATTGGATTGAACTAACAGAGCTGAACATTCCTTTAGATGGAGCAGTTTCCAAACCCACTTTCTGTAGAATCTGCAAGTGGATATTTGGACTTCTCTGAGGATTTCGTTGGAAACGGGATAAACTTCCCAGAACTACACGGAAGCATTCTGAGAAACTTCTTTGTGATGTTTGCATTCAACTCACAGAGTTGAACCTTGCTTTCATAGTTCAGCTTTCAAACACTCTTTTTGTAGAATCTGCAAGTGGATATTTGGACCACTTTGTGGCCTTCCTTCGAAACGGGTATATCTTCACATCAAACCTAGACAGAAGCATTCTCAGAATGTTTCCTGTGATGACTGCATTCAACTCACAGAGGTGAACAATCCTGCTGATGGAGAAGTTTTGAAACTCTCTTTCTTTGGATTCTGCAAGTGGATATGTGGACCTCTGTGAAGATTTCGTTGGAAACGGGTTCATCTTCACAGAAAAACTAAACAGAAGCATTCTCAGAAACTGCATTATCATGTTTGTGTTCCACTTCAAGAGTTGAACTTTCCTCTTGACAGAGCAGCTCTGAAACCCTCTTTTTCTAGAATCTGCAAGTGGACATTTGGAGGGCTTTGAGGCCTGTGGTGGAAAAGGAAAATCTTCACATAAAAACTAGATGGAAGCATTCTCAGAAACTACTTTGTGATGATTGCATTCGACTCACAGAGTTGAACATTCCTATACATAGAGCAGGTTGTAAACAATCTTTTTGTAGAATCTGCGATTGGAGATTTGGACTGCTTTGAGGCCTACTGTAGTAAAGGAAATAACTTCATCTAAAAACCAAACGGAAGCATTCACAGACAATTCTTAGTGATCATTGCATTGAACTAACAGAGCTGAACATTCCTTTAGATGGAGCATTTTCCAAACACACTTTCTGTAGAATCTGCAAGTGGATATTTGGACTTCTCTGAGGATTTCGTTGGAAACTGGATAAACTTCCCAGAACTACACGGAAGCATTGTGAGAAACTTCTTTGTGATGTTTGCATTCAACTCACAGAGTTGAACCTTGCTTTCATAGTTCAGCTTTCAAACACTCTTTTTGTAGAATCTGCAAGTGGATATTTGGACCACTTTGTGGCCTTCCTTCGAAACGGGTATATCTTCACATCAAACCTAGACAGAAGCATTCTCAGAATGTTTCCTGTGATGACTGCATTCAACTCACAGAGGTGAACAATCCTGCTGATGGAGCAGTTTTGAAACTCTCTTTCTTTGGATTCTGCAAGTGGATATGTGGACCTCTGTGAAGATTTCGTTGGAAACGGGTTCATCTTCACAGAAAAACTAAACAGAAGCATTCTCAGAAACTGCTTTGTGATGTTTGTGTTCCACTTCAGGAATTGAACTTTCCTCTTGAAAGAGCAGCTCTGAAACCCTCTTTTTCTAGAATCTGCAAGTGGACATTTGGAGGGCTTTGAGGCCTGTGGTGGAAAAGGAAAATCTTCACATAATAACTAGATGGAAGCATTCTCAGAAACTACTTTGTGATGATTGCATTCGACTCACAGAGTTGAACATTACTATAGATAGAGCAGGTTGTAAACAATGTTTTTGTAGAATCTGCGATTGGAGATTTGGACTGCTTTGAGGCCTACTGTAGTAAAGGAAATAACTTCATCTAAAAACCAAACGGAAGCATTCACAGACAATTCTTAGTGATCATTGCATTGAACTAACAGAGCTGAACATTCCTTTAGATGACGCAGTTTCCAAACACAATTTCTGTAGAATCTGCAAGTGGATATTTGGACCCCTCTGAGGATTTCGTTGGAAACGGGATAAACTTCCCAGAACTACACGGAAGCATTGTGAGAAACTTCTTTGTGATGTTTGCATTCAACTCACAGAGTTGAACCTTGCTTTCATAGTTCAGCTTTCAAACACTCTTTTTGTAGAATCTGCAAGTGGATATTTGGACCACTTTGTGGCCTTCCTTCGAAACGGGTATATCTTCACATCAAACCTAGACAGAAGCATTCTCAGAATGTTTCCTGTGATGACTGCATTCAACTCACAGAGGTGAACAATCCTGCTGATGGAGCAGTTTTGAAACTCTCTTTCTTTGGATTCTGCAAGTGGATATGTGGACCTCTGTGAAGATTTCGTTGGAAACGGGTTCATCTTCACAGAAAAACTAAACAGAAGCATTCTCAGAAACTGCTTTGTGATGTTTGTGTTCCACTTCAGGAATTGAACTTTCCTCTTGACAGAGCAGCTCTGAAACCCTCTTTTTCTAGAATCTGCAAGTGGACATTTGGAGGGCTTTGAGGCCTGTGGTGGAAAAGGAAAATCTTCACATAAAAACTAGATGGAGAGCATTCTCAGAAACTACTTTGTGATGATTGCATTCGACTCACAGAGTTGAACATTCCTATAGATAGAGCAGGTTGTAAACAATCTTTTTGTAGAATCTGCGATTGGAGATTTGGACTGCTTTGAGGCCTACTGTAGTAAAGGAAATAACTTCATCTAAAAACAAAACGGAGCATTCACAGACAATTCTTAGTGATCATTGGATTGAACTAACAGAGCTGAACATTCCTTTAGATGGCGCAGTTTCCAAACACACTTTCTGTAGAATCTGCAAGTGGATATTTGGACCTCTCTGAGGATTTCGTTGGAAACGGGATAAACTTCCCAGAACTACACGGAAGCATTCTGAGAAACTTCTTTGTGATGTTTGCATTCAACTCACAGAGTTGAACCTTGCTTTCATAGTTCAGCTTTCAAACACTCTTTTTGTAGAATCTGCAAGTGGATATTTGGACCACTTTGTGGCCTTCCTTCGAAACGGGTATATCTTCACATCAAACATAGACAGAAGCATTCTCAGAATATTTCCTGTGATGGCTGCATTCAACTCACAGAGGTGAACAATCCTGTTGATGGAGCAGTTTTGAAACTCTCTTTCTTTAGATTCTGCATGTGGATATGTGGACCTCTGTGAAGATTTCGTTGGAAACGGGTTCATCTTCACAGAAAAACTAAACAGGAGCATTCTCAGAAACTACTTTGTGATGTTTGTGTTCCACTTCAAGAATTGAACTTTCCTCTTGACAGAGCAGCTCTGAAACCCTCTTTTTCTAGAATCTGCAAGTGGACATTTGGAGGGCTTTGAGGCCTGTGGTGGAAAAGGAAAATCTTCACATAAAAACTAGATGGAAGCATTCTCAGAAACTACTTTGTGATGATGGCTTTCGACTCACAGAGTTGAACATTCCTATAGATAGAGCAGGTTGTAAACAATCTTTTTGTAGAATCTGCGATTGGAGATTTGGACTGCTTTGAGGCCTACTGTAGTAAAGGAAATAACTTCATCTAAAAACCAAACGGAAGCATTCACAGACAATTCTTAGTGATCATTGGATTGAACTAACAGAGCTGAACATTCCTTTAGATGGAGCAGTTTCCAAACACACTTTCTGTAGAATCTGCAAGTGGATATTTGGACCTCTCTGAGGATTTCGTTGGAAACGGGCTAAATTTCCCAGAACTACACGGAAGTATTCTGAGAAACTTCTTTGTGATGTTTGCATTCAACTCACAGAGTTGAAACTTGCTTTCATAGTTCAGCTTTCAAACACTCTTTTTGTAGAATCTGCAAGTGGATATTTGGACCACTTTGTGGCCTTCCTTCGAAACGGGTATATCTTCACATCAAACCTAGACAGAAGCATTCTCAGAATGTTTCCTGTGATGACTGCATTCAACTCACAGAGGTGAACAATCCTGTTGATGGAGCAGTTTTGAAACTCTCTTTCTTTGGATTCTGCAAGTTGATATGTGGACCTCTGTGAAGATTTCGTTGGAAACGGGTTCATCTTCACAGAAAAAATAAACAGGAGCATTCTCAGAAACTGCTTTGTGATGTTTGTGTTCCACTTCAAGAATTGAACTTTCCTCTTGACAGAGCAGCTCTGAAACCCTCTTTTTCTAGAATCTGCAAGTGGACATTTGGAGGGCTTTGAGGCCTGTGGTGGAAAAGGAAAATCTTCACATAAAAACTAGATGGAAGCATTCTCAGAAACTACTTTGTGATGATTGCATTCGACTCACAGAGTTGAACATTCCTATACATAGAGCAGGTTGTAAACAATCTTTTTGTAGAATCTGCGATTGGAGATTTGGACTGCTTTGAGGCCTACTGTAGTAAAGGAAATAACTTCATCTAAAAACCAAACGGAAGCATTCACAGACAATTCTTAGTGATCATTGCATTGAACTAACAGAGCTGAACATTCCTTTAGATGGAGCAGTTTCCAAACACACTTTCTGTAGAATCTGCAAGTGGATATTTGGACTTCTCTGAGGATTTCGTTGGAAACGGGATAAACTTCCCAGAACTACACGGAAGCATTGTGAGAATCATATTTCTGATGTTTGCATTCAACTCACAGAGTTGAACCTTGCTTTCATAGTTCAGCTTTCAAACACTCTTTTTGTAGAATCTGCAAGTGGATATTTGGACCACTTTGTGGCCTTCCTTTGAAACGGGTACATCTTCACATCAAACCTAGACAGAAGCATTCTCAGAATGTTTCCTGTGATGACTGCATTCAACTCACAGAGGTGAACAATCCTGCTGATGGAGCAGTTTTGAAACTCTCTTTCTTTGGATTCTGCAAGTGGATATGTGGACCTCTGTGAAGATTTCGTTGGAAACGGGTTCATCTTCACAGAAAAACTAAACAGAAGCATTCTCAGAAACTGCTTTGTGATGTTTGTGTTCCACTTCAAGAATTGAACTTTCCTCTTGACAGAGCAGCTCTGAAACCCTCTTTTTCTAGAATCTGCAAGTGGACATTTGGAGGGCTTTGAGGCCTGTGGTGGAAAAGGAAAATCTTCCCATAAAAACTAGATGGAAGCATTCTCAGAAACTACTTTGTGATGATTGCATTCGACTCACAGAGTTGAACATTCCTATAGATAGAGAAGGTTGTAAACAATCTTTTTGTAGAATCTGCGATTGGAGATTTGGACTGCTTTGAGGCCTACTGTAGTAAAGGAGATAACTTCACCTAAAAACCAAACGGAAGCATTCACAGACAATTCTTAGTGATCATTGGATTGAACTAACAGAGCTGAACATTCCTTTAGATGGAGCAGTTTCCAAACCCACTTTCTGTAGAATCTGCAAGTGGATATTTGGACTTCTCTGAGGATTTCGTTGGAAACGGGATAAACTTCCCAGAACTACACGGAAGCATGCTGAGAAACTTCTTTGTGATGTTTGCATTCAACTCACAGAGTTGAAACTTGCTTTCATAGTTCAGCTTTCAAACACTCTTTTTGTAGAATCTGCAAGTGGATATTTGGACCACTTTGTGGCCTTCCTTCGAAACGGGTATATCTTCACATCAAACCTAGACAGAAGCATTCTCAGAATGTTTCCTGTGATGACTGCATTCAACTCACAGAGGTGAACAATCCTGCTGATGGAGCAGTTTTGAAACTCTCTTTCTTTGGATTCTGCAAGTGGATATGTGGACCTCTGTGAAGATTTCGTTGGAAACGGGTTCATCTTCACAGAAAAACTAAACAGAAACATTCTCAGAAACTGCTTTGCGACGTTTGTGTTCCACTTCAAGAATTGAAATTTCTTCTTGACAGAGCAGCTCTGAAACCCTCTTTTTCTAGAATCTGCAAGTGGACATTGGGAGGGCTTTGAGGCCTGTGGTGGAAAAGGAAAATCTTCACTAAAAAACTGGATGGAAGCATTCTCAGAAACTACTTTGTGATGATTGCATTCGACTCACAGAGTTGAACATTCCTATACATAGAGCAGGTTGTAAACAATCTTTTTGTAGAATCTGCGATTGGAGATTTGGACTGCTTTGAGGCCTACTGTAGTAAAGGAAATAACTTCATCTAAAAACCAAACGGAAGCATTCACAAACAATTCTTAGTGATCATTGGATTGAACTAACAGAGCTGAACATTCCCTTAGATGGCGCAGTTTCCAAACACACTTTCTGTAGAATCTGCAAGTGGATATTTGGACCTCTCTGAGGATTTCGTTGGAAACGGGATATACTTCCCAGAACTACACGGAAGCATTGTGAGAAACTTCTCTGTGATGTTTGCATTCAACTCACAGAGTTGAACCTTGCTTTCATAGTTCAGCTTTCAAACACTCTTTTTGTAGAATCTGCAAGTGGATATTTGGACCACTTTGTGGCCTTCCTTCGAAACGGGTATATCTTCACATCAAACCTAGACAGAAGCATTCTCAGAATGTTTCCTGTGATGACTGCATTCAACTCACAGAGTTGAACAATCCTGTTGATGGAGCAGTTTTCAAACTCTCTTTCTTTGGATTCTGCAAGTGGATATGTGGACCTCTGTGAAGATTTCGTTGGAAACGGGTTCATCTTCACAGAAAAACTAAACAGAAGCATTCTCAGAAACTGCTTTGTGATGTTTGTGTTCCACTTCAGGAATTGAACTTTCCTCTTGACAGAGCAGCTCTGAAACCCTCTTATTCTAGAATCTGCAAGTTGACATTTGGAGGGCTTTGAGGCCTGTGGTGTAAAAGGAAAATCTTCACATAAAAACTAGATGGAAGCATTCTCAGAAACTACTTTGTGATGATTGCATTCGACTCACAGAGTTGAACATTCCTATAGATAGAGCAGGTTGTAAACAATCTTTTTGTAGAATCTGCGATTGGAGATTTGGACTGCTTTGAGGCCTACTGTAGTAAAGGAAATAACTTCATCTAAAAACCAAACGGAAGCATTCACAGACAATTCTTAGTGATCATTGGATTGAACTAACAGAGCTGAACATTCCTTTAGATGGAGCAGTTTCCAAACCCACTTTCTGTAGAATCTGCAAGTGGATATTTGGACTTCTCTGAGGATTTCGTTGGAAACGGGATAAACTTCCCAGAACTACACGGAAGCATTCTGAGAAACTTCTTTGTGATGTTTGCATTCAACTCACAGAGTTGAACCTTGCTTTCATAGTTCAGCTTTCAAACACTCTTTTTGTAGAATCTGCAAGTGGATATTTGGACCACTTTCTGGCCTTCCTTCGAAACGGGTATATCTTCACATCAAACCTAGACAGAAGCATTCTCAGAATGTTTCCTGTGATGACTGCATTCAACTCACAGAGGTGAACAATCCTGTTGATGGAGCAGTTTTGAAACTCTCTTTCTTTGGATTCTGCAAGTGGATATGTGGACCTCTGTGAAGATTTCGTTGGAAACGGGTTCATCTTCACCGAAAAACTAAACAGGAGCATTCTCAGAAACTGCTTTGTGATGTTTGTGTTCCACTTCAGGAATTGAACTTTCCTCTTGATAGAGCAGCTCTGAAACCCTCTTTTTCTAGAATCTGCAAGCGGACATTTGGAGGGTTTTGGGTCCTGTGGTGGAAAAGGAAATCTTCACATTAAAACTAGATGGAAGCATTCTCAGAAACTACTTTGTGATGATTGCATTCGACTCACAGAGTTGAACATTACTATAGATAGAGCAGGTTGAAAACAATCTTTTTGTAGAATCTGCGATTGGAGATTTGGACTGCTTTGAGGCCTACTGTAGTAAAGGAAATAACTTCATCTAAAAACCAAACGGAAGCATTCACAGACAATTCTTAGTGATCATTGGATTGAACTAACTGAGCTGAACATTCCTTTAGATGGCGCAGTTTCCAAACACACTTTCTGTAAAATATGCAAGTGGATATTTGGACCTCTCTGAGGATTTCGTTGGAAACGGGATAAACTTCCCAGAACTACACGGAAGCATTCTGAGAAACTTCTTTGTGATGTTTGCATTCAACTCACAGAGTTGAACCTTGCTTTCATAGTTCAGCTTTCAAACACTCTTTTTGTAGAATCTGCAAGTGGATATTTGGACCACTTTGTGGCCTTCCTTCGAAACGGGTATATCTTCACATCAAACCTAGACAGAAGCATTCTCAGAATGTTTCCTGTGATGACTGCATTCAACTCACAGAGGTGAACAATCCTGTTGATGGAGCAGTTTTGAAACTCTCTTTCTTTGGATTCTGCAAGTGGATATGTGGACCTCTGTGAAGATTTCGTTGGAAACGGGTTCATCTTCACAGAAAAACTAAACAGGAGCATTCTCAGAAACTGCTTTGTGATGTTTGTGTTCCACTTCAAGAATTGAACTTTCCTCTTGACAGAGCAGCTCTGAAACCCTCTTTTTCTAGAATCTGCAAGTGGACATTTGGAGGGCTTTGAGGCCTGTGGTGGAAAAGGAAAATCTTCACATAAAACTAGATGGAAGCATTCTCAGAAACTACTTTGTGATGATTGCATTCGACTCACAGAGTTGAACATTCGTATAGATAGAGCAGGTTGTAAACAATCTTTTTGTAGAATCTGCGATTGGAGATTTGGACTGCTTTGAGGCCTACTGTAGTAAAGGAAATAACTTAATCTAAAAACCAAACGGAAGCATTCACAGACAATTCTTAGTGATCATTGCATTGAACTAACAGAGCTGAACATTCCTTTAGATGGCGCAGTTTCCAAACACACTTTCTGTAGAATCTGCAAGTGGATATTTGGACCTCTCTGAGGATTTCGTTGGAAACGGGATAAACTTCCCAGAACTACACGGAAGCATTCTGAGAAACTTCTTTGTGATGTTTGCATTCAACTCACAGAGTTGAACCTTGCTTTCATAGTTCAGCTTTCAAACACTCTTTTTGTAGAATCTGCAAGTGGATATTTGGACCACTTTGTGGCCTTCCTTCGAAACGGGTATATCTTCACATCAAACCTAGACAGAAGCATTCTCAGAATGTTTTCCTGTGATGACTGCATTCAACTCACAGAGGTGAACAATCCTGTTGATGGAGCAGTTTTGAAACTCTCTTTCTTTGGATTCTGCAAGTGGATATGTGGACCTCTGTGAAGATTTCGTTGGAAACGGGTTCATCTTCACAGAAAAACTAAACAGGAGCATTCTCAGAAACTGCTTTGTGATGTTTGTGTTCCACTTCAAGAATTGAACTTTCCTCTTGACAGAGCAGCTCTGAAACCCTCTTTTTCTAGAATCTGCAAGTGGACATTTGGAGGGCTTTGAGGCCTGTGGTGGAAAAGGAAAATCTTCACATAAAAACTAGATGGAAGCATTCTCAGAAACTTCTTTGTGATGATTGCATTCGACTCACAGAGTTGAACATTCCTATAGATAGAGCAGGTTGTAAACAATCTTTTTGTAGAATCTGCGATTGGAGATTTGGACTGCTTTGAGGCCTACTGTAGTAAAGGAAATTACTTCATATAAAAACCAAACGGAAGGATTCACAGACAATTCTTAGTGATCATTGCATTGAACTAACAGATCTGAACATTCCTTTAGATGGCGCAGTTTCCAAACACACTTTCTGTAGAATCTGCAAGTGGATATTTGGACCTCTCTGAGGATTTCGTTGGAAACGGGATAAACTTCTCAGAACTACACGGAACCATTCTGAGAAACTTCTTTGTGATGTTTGCATTCAACTCACAGAGTTGAACCTTGCTTTCATAGTTCAGCTTTCAAACACTCTTTTTGTAGAATCTGCAAGTGGATATTTGAACCACTTTGTGGCCTTCCTTCGAAACGGGTATATCTTCACATCAAACCTAGACAGAAGCATTCTCAGAATGTTTCCTGTGATGACTGCATTCAACTCACAGAGGTGAACAATCCTGCTGATGGAGCAGTTTTGAAACTCTCTTTCTTTGGATTCTGCAAGTGGATATGTGGACCTCTGTGAAGATTTCGTTGGAAACGGGTTCATCTTCATAGAAAAACTAAACAGGAGCATTCTCAGAAACTGCTTTGTGATGTTTGTGTTCCACTTAAAGAATTGAAATTTCCTCTTGACAGAGCAGCTCTGAAACCCTCTTTTTCTAGAATCTGCAAGTGGACATTTGGAGGGCTTTGAGGGCTGTGGTGGAAAAGGAAAATCTTCATATAAAAACTTTATGGAAGCATTCTCAGAAACTACTTTGTGATGATTGCATTCGACTCACAGAGTTGAACATTCCTATAGATAGAGCAGGTTGTAAACAATCTTTTTGTAGAATCTGCGATTGGAGATTTGGACTGCTTTGAGGCCTACTGCAGTAAAGGAAATAACTTCATCTAAAAACCAAACGGAAGCATTCACAGACAATTCTTAGTGATCATTGCATTGAACTAACAGAGCTGAACATTCCTTTAGATGGCGCAGTTTCCAAACACACTTTCTGTAGAATCTGCAAGTGGATATTTGGACCTCTCTGAGGATTTCGTTGGAAACGGGATAAACTTCCCAGAACTACACGGAAGCATTGTGAGAAACTTCTTTGTGATGCTTGCATTCAACTCACAGAGTTGAACCTTGCTTTCATAGTTCAGCTTTCAAACACTCTTTTTGTAGAATCTGCAAGTGGATATTTGGACCACTTTGTGGCCTTCCTTCGAAACGGGTATATCTTCACATCAAACCTAGACAGAAGCATTCTCAGAATGTTTCCTGTGATGACTGCATTCAACTCACAGAGGTGAACAATCCTGTTGATGGAGCACTATTGAAACTCTCTTTCTCTGGATTCTGCAAGTAGATATGTGGAACTCTGTGAAGATTTCGTTGGAAAGGGGTTCATCTTCACAGAAAAACTAAACAGAAGCATTCTCAGAAACTGCTTTGTGATGTTTGTGTTCCACTTCAAGAATTGAACTTTCCTCTTGACAGAGCAGCTCTGAAACCCTCTTTTTCTAGAATCTGCAAGTGGACATTTGGAGGGCTTTGAGGCCTGTGGTGGAAAAGGAAAATCTTCCCATAAAAACTAGATGGAAGCATTCTCAGAAACTACTTTGTGATGATTGCATTCGACTCACAGAGTTGAACATTCCTATAGATAGAGCAGGTTGTAAACAATCTTTTTGTAGAATCTGCGATTGGAGATTTGGACTGCTTTGAGGCCTACTATAGTAAAGGAAATAACTTCATCTAAAAACCAAACGGAAGCATTCACAGACAATTCTTAGTGATCATTGGATTGAACTAACAGAGCTGAACATTCCTTTAGATGGCGCAGTTTCCAAACACACTTTGTGTAGAATCTGCAAGTGGATATTTGGACTTCTCTGAGGATTTCGTTGGAAACGGGATAAACTTCCCAGAACTACACGGAAGCATTCTGAGAAACTTCTTTGTGATGTTTGCATTCAACTCACAGAGTTGAACCTTGCTTTCTTAGTTCAGCTTTCAAACACTCTTTTTGTAGAATCTGCAAGTGGATATTTGGACCACTTTGTGGCCTTCCTTCGAAACGGGTATATCTTCACATCAAACCTAGACAGAAGCATTCTCAGAATGTTTCCTGTGATGACTGCATTCAACTCACAGAGGTGAACAATCCTGCTGATGGAGCAGTTTTGAAACTCTCTTTCTTTGGATTCTGCAAGTGGATATGTGGACCTCTGTGAAGATTTCGTTGGAAACGGGTTCATCTTCACAGAAAAAACTAAACAGGAGCATTCTCAGAAACTGCTTTGTGTTGTTTGTGTTCCACTTCAAGAATTGAACTTTCCTCTTGACAGAGCAGCTCTGAAACCCTCTTTTTCTAGAATCTGCAAGTGGACATTTGGAGGGCTTCGAGGCCTGTGGTGGAAAAGGAAAATCTTCACATAAGAACTAGATGGAAGCATTCTCAGAAACTACTTTGTGATGATTGCATTCGACCCACAGAGTTTAACATTCCTATAGATAGAGCAGGTTGTAAACAATCTTTTTGTAGAATCTGCGATTGGAGATTTGGACTCCTTTGAGGCCTACTGTAGTAAAGGAAATAACTTCATCTAAAAACCAAACGGAAGCATTCACAGACAATTCTTAGTGATCATTGGATTGAACTAACAGAGCTGAACATTCCTTTAGATGGAGCAGTTTCCAAACACACTTTCTGTAGAATCTGCAAGTGGATATTTGGACTTCTCTGAGGATTTCGTTGGAAACGGGATAAACTTCCCAGAACTACACGGAAGCATTCTGAGAAACTTCTTTGTGATGTTTGCATTCAACTCACAGAGTTGAACCTTGCTTTCATAGTTCAGCTTTCAAACACTCTTTTTGTAGAATCTGCAAGTGGATATTTGGACCACTTTGTGGCCTTCCTTCGAAACGGGTATATCTTCACATCAAACCTAGACAGAAACATTCTCAGAATGTTTCCTGTGATGACTGCATTCAACTCACAGAGGTGAACAATCCTGTTGATGGAGCAGTTTTGAAACTCTCTTTCTTTGGATTCTGCAAGTGGATATGTGGACCTCTGTGAAGATTTCGTTGGAAACGGGTTCATCTTCACAGAAAAACTAAACAGGAGCATTCTCAGAAACTGCTTTGTGATGTTTGTGTTCCACTTCAGGAATTGAACTTTCCTCTTGACAGAGCAGCTCTGAAACCCTCTTATTCTAGAATCTGCAAGTGGACATTTGGAGGGCTTTGAGGCCTGTGGTGGAAAAGGAAAATCTTCACATAAAAACTAGATGGAAGCATTCTCAGAAACTACTTTGTGATGATTGCATTCGACTCACAGAGTTGAACATTCCTATACATAGAGCAGGTTGTAAACAATCTTTTTGTAGAATCTGCGATTGGAGATTTGGACTGCTTTGAGGCCTACTGTAGTAAAGGAAATAACTTCATCTAAAAACCAAACGGAAGCCTTCACAGACAATTCTTAGTGATCATTGGATTGAACTAACAGAGCTGAACATTCCTTTAGATGGAGCAGTTTCCAAACACACTTTCTGCAGAATCTGCAAGTGGATATTTGGACTTCTCTGAGGATTTCGTTGGAAATGGGATAAACTTCCCAGAACTACACGGAAGCATTCTGAGAAACTTCTTTGTGATGTTTGCATTCAACTCACAGAGTTGAACCTTGCTTTCATAGTTCAGCTTTCAAACACTCTTTTTGTAGAATCTGCAAGTGTATATTTGGACCACTTTGTGGCCTTCCTTCGAAACGGGTATATCTTCACATCAAACCTAGACAGAAGCATTCTCAGAATGTTTCCTGTGATGACTGCATTCAACTCACAGAGGTGAACAATCCTGTTGATGGAGCAGTTTTGAAACTCTCTTTCTTTGGATTCTGCAAGTGGATATGTGGACCTCTGTGAAGATTTCGTTGGAAACGGGTTCATCTTCACAGAAAAACTAAACAGAAGCATTCTCAGAAACTGCTTTGTGATGTTTGTGTTCCACTTCAGGAATTGAACTTTCCTCTTGACAGAGCAGCTCTGAAACCCTCTTTTTCTAGAATCTGCAAGTGGACATTTGGAGGGCTTTGAGGCCTGTGGTGGAAAAGGAAAATCTTCACATAAAAACTAGATGGAAGCATTCTCAGAAACTACTTTGTGATGATTGCATTCGACTCACAGAGTTGAACATTCCTATAGATAGAGCAGGTTGAAAACAATCTTTTTGTAGAATCTGCGATTGGAGATTTGGACTGCTTTGAGGCCTACTGTAGTAAAGGAAATAACTTCATCTAAAAACCAAACGGAAGCATTCACAGATAATTCTTAGTGATCATTGGATTGAACTAACAGAGCTGAACATTCCTTTAGATGGAGCAGTTTCCAAACACACTTTCTGTAGAATCTGCAAGTGGATATTTGGACTTCTCTGAGGATTTCGTTGGAAACGGGATAAACTTCCCAGAACTACACGGAAGCATTCTGAGAAACTTCTTTGTGATGTTTGCATTCAACTCACAGACTTGAACCTTGCTTTCATAGTTCAGCTTTCAAACACTCTTTTTGTAGAATCTGCAAGTGGATATTTGGACGACTTTGTGGCCTTCCTTCGAAACGGGTATATCTTCACATCAAACCTAGACAGAAGCATTCTCAGAATGTTTCCTGTGATGACTGCATTCAACTCACAGAGGTGAACAATCCTGCTGATGGAGCAGTTTTGAAACTCTCTTTCTTTGGATTCTGCAAGTGGATATGTGGACCTCTGTGAAGATTTCGTTGGAAACGGGTTCATCTTCACAGAAAAACTAAACAGAAGCATTCTCAGAAGCTACTTTGTGATGTTTGTGTTCCACTTCAAGAATTGAACTTTCCTCTTGACAGAGCAGCTCTGAAACCCTCTTTTTCTAGAATCTGCAAGTGGACATTTGGAGGGCTTTGAGGCCTGTGGTGGAAAAGGAAAATCTTCACATAAAAACTAGATGGAAGCATTCTCAGAAACTACTTTGTGATGATTGCATTCGACTCACAGAGTTGAACATTCCTATAGATAGAGCAGGTTGTAAACAATCTTTTTGTAGAATCTGCGATTGCAGATTTGGACTGCTTTGAGGCCTACTGTAGTAAAGGAAATAACTTCATCTAAAAACCAAACGGAAGCATTCACAGAAAATTCTTAGTGATCATTGGATTGAACTAACAGAGCTGAACATTCCTTTAGATGGCACAGTTTCCAAACACACTTTCTGTAGAATCTGCAAGTGGATATTTGGACCTCTCTGAGGATTTCGTTGGAAAAGGGCTAAACTTCCCAGAACTACACGGAAGCATTCTGAGAAACTTCTTTGTGATGTTTGCATTCAACTCACAGAGTTGAACCTTGCTTTCATAGTTCAGCTTTCAAACACTCTTTTTGTAGAATCTGCAAGTGGATATTTGGACCACTTTCTGGCCTTCCTTCGAAACGGGTATATCTTCACATCAAACCTAGACAGAAGCATTCTCAGAATGTTTCCTGTGATGACTGCATTCAACTCACAGAGGTGAACAATCCTGTTGATGGAGCACATTTGAAACTCTCTTTCTTTGGATTCTGCAAGTGGATATGTGGATCTCTGTGAAGATTTGGTTGGAAACGGGTTCATCTTCACAGAAAAACTAAACAGAAGCATTCTCAGAAACTGCTTTGTGATGTTTGTGTTCCACTTCAGGAATTGAACTTTCCTCTTGACAGAGCAGCTCTGAAACCCTCTTATTCTAGAATCTGCAAGTGGACATTTGGAGGGCTTTGAGGCCTGTGGTGGAAAAGGAAAATCTTCACATAAAAACTAGATGGAAGCATTCTCAGAAACTACTTTGTGATGATTGCATTCGACTCACAGAGTTGAACATTCCTATAGATAGAGCAGGTTGTAAACAATCTTTTTGTAGAATCTGCGATTGGAGATTTGGACTGATTTGAGGCCTACTGTAGTAAAGGAAATAACTTAATCTAAAAACCAAACGAAAGCATTCACAGAGAATTCTTAGTGATCATTGGATTGAACTAACAGAGCTGAACATTCCTTTAGATGGAGCAGTTTCCAAACCCACTTTCTGTAGAATCTGCAAGTGGATATTTGGACTTCTCTGAGGATTTCGTTGGAAACGGGATAAACTTCCCAGAACTACACGGAAGCATTCTGAGAAACTTCTTTGTGATGTTTGCATTCAACTCACAGGGTTGAACCTTGCTTTCATAGTTCAGCTTTCAAACACTCTTTTTGTAGAATCTGCAAGTGGATATTTGGACCACTTTGTGGCCTTCCTTCGAAACGGGTATATCTTCACATCAAACCTAGACAGAAGCATTCTCAGAATGTTTCCTGTGATGACTGCATTCAACTCACAGAGGTGAACCATCCTGTTGATGGGGCAGTTTTGAAACTTCCTTTCTTTGGATTCTGCAAGTGGATATGTGGACCTCTGTGAAGATTTCTTTGGAAACGGGTTCATCTTCACAGAAAAACTAAACAGGAGCATTCTCACAAACTGCTTTGTGAGGTTTGTGTTCCACTTCAGGAATTGAACTTTCCTCTTGACAGAGCAGCTCTGAAACCCTCTTTTTCTAGAATCTGCAAGTGGACATTTGGAGGGCTTTGAGGCCTGTGGTGGAAAAGGAAAATCTTCACATAAAAACTAGATGGAAGCATTCTCAGAAACTACTTTGTGATGATTGCATTCGACTCACAGAGTTGAACATTCCTATAGATAGAGCAGGTTGTAAACAATCTTTTTGTAGAATCTGCGATTGGAGATTTGCACTGCTTTGAGGCCTACTGTAGTAAAGGAAATAACTTCATTTAAAAACCAAACGGAAGCATTCACAGACAATTCTTAGTGATCATTGGATTGAACTAACAGAGCTGAACATTCCTTTAGATGGCGCAGTTTCCAAACACACTTTCTGTAGAATCTGCAAGTGGATATTTGGTCCTCTCTGAGGATTTCGTTGGAAACGGGATAAACTTCCCAGAACTACACGGAAGCATTCTGAGAAACTTCTTTGTGATGTTTGCATTCAACTCACAGAGTTGAACCTTGCTTTCATAGTTCAGCTTTCAAACACTCTTTTTGTAGAATCTGCAAGTAGATATTTGGACCACTTTGTGGCCTTCCTTCGAAACGGGTATATCTTCACATCAAACCTAGACAGAAGCATTCTCAGAATGTTTCCTGTGATGACTGCATTCAACTCACAGAGGTGAACAATCCTGCTGATGGAGCAGTTTTGAAACTCTCTTTCTTTGGATTCTGCAAGTGGATATGTGGACCTCTGTGAAGATTTCGTTGGAAACGGGTTCATCTTCACAGAAAAACTAAACAGGAGCATTCTCAGAAACTGCTTTGTGATGTTTGTGTTCCACTTCAAGAATTGAACTTTCCTCTTGACAGAGCAGCTCTGAAACCCTCTTTTTCTAGAATCTGCAAGTGGACATTTGGAGGGCTTTGAGGCCTGTGGTGGAAAAGGAAAATCTTCACATGAAAACTAGATGGAAGCATTCTCAGAAACTACTTTGTGATGATTGCATTCGACTCACAGAGTTGAACATTCCTATAGATAGAGCAGGTTGTAAACAATCTTTTTGTAGAATCTGCGATTGGAGATTTGGATTGCTTTGAGGCCTACTGTAGTAAAGGAAATAACTTCATCTAAAAACGAAACGGAAGCATTCACAGACAATTCTTAGTGATCATTGCATTGAACTAACAGAGCTGAACATTGCTTTAGATGGCGCAGTTTCCAAACACACTTTCTGTAGAATCTGCAAGTGGATATTTGGACCTCTCTGAGGATTTCGTTGGAAACGGGATAAACTTCCCAGAACTACACGGAAGCATTGTGAGAAACTTCTTTGTGATGTTTGCATTCAACTCACAGAGTTGAACGTTGCTTTCATAGTTCAGCTTTCAAACACTCTTTTTGTAGAATCTGCAAGTGGATATTTGGACCACTTTGTGGCCTTCCTTCGAAACGGGTATATCTTCACATCAAACCTAGACAGAAGCATTCTCAGAATGTTTCCTGTGATGACTGCATTCAACTCACAGAGGTGAACAATCCTGCTGATGGAGCAGTTTTGAAACTCTCTTTCTTTGGATTCTGCAAGTGGATATGTGGACCTCTGTGAAGATTTCGTTGGAAACGGGTTCATCTTCACAGAAAAACTAAACAGAAGCATTCTCAGAAACTGCTTTGTGATGTTTGTGTTCCACTTCAAGAATTGAACTTTCCTCTCGACAGAGCAGCTCTGAAACCCTCTTATTCTAAAATCTGCAAGTGGACATTTGGAGGGCTTTGAGGCCTGTGGTGGAAAAGGAAAATCTTCACATAAAAACTAGATGGAAGCATTCTCAGAAACTACTTTGTGATGATTGCATTCGACTCACAGAGTTGAACATTCCTATAGATAGAGCAGGCTGTAAACAATCTTTTTGTAGAATCTGCGATTGGAGATTTGGACTGCTTTGAGGCCTACTGTAGTAAAGGAAATAACTTCATCTAAAAACCAAACGGAAGCATTCACAGACAATTCTTAGTGATCATTGGATTGAACTAACAGAGCTGAACATTCCTTTAGATGGAGCAGTTTCCAAACACACTTTCTGTAGAATCTGCAAGTGGATATTTGGACCTCTCTGAGGATTTCGTTGGAAACGGGATAAACTTCCCAGAACTACACGGAAGCATTCTGAGAAACTTCTTTGTGATGTTTGCATTCAACTCACAGAGTTGAACCTTGCTTTCATAGTTCAGCTTTCAAACACTCTTTTTGTAGAATCTGCAAGTGGATATTTGGACCACTTTGTGGCCTTCCTTCGAAACGGGTATATCTTCACATCAAACCTAGACAGAAGCATTCTCAGAATGTTTCCTGTGATGACTGCATTCAACTCACAGAGGTGAACAATCCTGCTGATGGAGCAGTTTTGAAACTCCCTTTCTTTGGATTCTGCAAGTGGATATGTGGACCTCTGTGAAGATTTCCTTGGAAACGGGTTCATCTTCACAGAAAAACTAAACAGGAGCATTCTCAGAAACTTCTTTGTGATGTTTGTGTTCCACTTCAAGAATTGAACTTTCCTCTTGACAGAGCAGCTCTGAAACCCTCTTTTTCTAGAATCTGCAAGTGGACATTTGGAGGGCTTTGAGGCCTGTGGTGGAAAAGGAAAATCTTCACATAAAAACTAGATGGAAGCATTCTCAGAAACTACTTTGTGATGATTGCATTCGACTCACAGAGTTGAACATTCCTATAGATAGAGCAGGTTGTAAACAATCTTTTTGTAGAATCTGCGATTGGAGATTTGGACTGCTTTGAGGCCTACTGTAGTAAAGGAAATAACTTCATCTAAAAACCAAACGGAAGCATTCACAGACAATACTTAGTGATCATTGGATTGAACAAACAGAGCTGAACATTCCTTTAGATAGAGCAGTTTACAAACACACTTTCTGTAGAATCTGCAAGTGGATATTTGGACTTCTCTGAGGATTTCGTTGGAAAAGGGATAAACTTCCCAGAACTACACGGAAGCATTCTGAGAAACTTCTTTGTGATGTTTGCATTCAACTCACAGAGTTGAACCTTGCTTTCATAGTTCAGCTTTCAAACACTCTTTTTGTAGAATCTGCAAGTGGATATTTGGACCACTTTGTGGCCTTCCTTCGAAACGGGTATAACTTCACATCAAACCTAGACAGAAGCATTCTCAGAATGTTTCCTGTGATGACTGCATTCAACTCACAGAGGTGAACAATCCTGCTGATGGAGCAGTTTTGAAACTCCCTTTCTTAGGATTCTGCAAGTGGATATGTGGACCTCTGTGAAGATTTCGTTGGAAACGAGTTCATCTTCACAGAAAAACTAAACAGAAGCATTCTCAGAAACTGCTTTGTGATGTTTGTGTTCCACTTCAGGAATTGAACTTTCCTCTTGACAGAGCAGCTCTGAAACCCTCTTATTCTAGAATCTGCAAGTGGACATTTGGAGGGCTTTGAGGCCTGTGGTGGAAAAGGAAAATCTTCACATAAAAACTAGATGGAAGCATTCTCAGAAACTACTTTGTGATGATTGCATTCGACTCACAGAGTTGAACACTCCTATAGATAGAGCAGGTTGTAAACAATCTTTTTGTAGAATCTGCGATTGGAGATTTGGACTGCTTTGAGGCCTACTGTAGTAAAGGAAATAACTTCATCTAAAAACCAAACGGAAGCATTCACAGACAATTCTTAGTGATCATTGGATTGAACTAACAGAGCTGAACATTCCTTTAGATGGAGCAGTTTCCAAACACACTTTCTGTAGAATCTGCAAGTGGATATTTGGACTTCTCTGAGGATTTCGTTGGAAACGGGATAAACTTCCCAGAACTACAGGGAAGCATTGTGAGAAACTTCTTTGTGATGTTTGCATTCAAATCACAGAGTTGAACCTTGCTTTCATAGTTCAGCTTTCAAACACTCTTTTTGTAGAATCTGCAAGTGGATATTTGGACCACTTTGTGGCCTTCCTTCGAAACGGGTATATCTTCACATCAAACCTAGACAGAAGCATTCTCAGAATGTTTCCTGTGATGACTGCATTCAACTCACAGAGGTGAACAATCCTGTTGATGGAGCAGTTTTGAAACTCTCTTTCTTTGGATTCTGCAAGTTGATATGTGGACCTCTGTGAAGATTTCGTTGGAAACGGGTTCATCTTCACAGAAAAACTAAACAGAAGCATTCTCAGAAACTGCTTTGTGATGTTTGTGTTCCAATTAAAGAATTGAACTTTCCTCTTGACAGAGCAGCTCTGAAACCCTCTTTTTCTAGAATCGGCAAGTGGACATTTGGAGGGCTTTGAGGCCTGTGGTGGAAAAGGAAAATCTTCACATAAAAACTAGATGGAATCATTCTCAGAAACTACTTTGTGATGATTGCATTCGACTCACAGAGGTGAACATTCCTATAGATAGAGCAGGTTGTAAACAATCTTTTTGTAGAATCTGCGATTGGAGATTTGGACTGCTTTGAGGCCTACTGTAGTAAAGGAAATAACTTCATCTAAAAACCAAACGGAAGCATTCACAGACAATTCTTAGTGATCATTGGATTGAACTAACAGAGCTGAACATTCCTTTAGATGGAGCAGTTTCCAAACCCACTTTCTGTAGAATCTGCAAGTGGATATTTGGACTTCTCTGAGGATTTCGTTGGAAACGGGATAAACTTCTCAGAACTACACGGAAGCATTGTGAGAAACTTCTTTGTGATGTTTGCATTCAACTCACAGAGTTGAACCTTGCTTTCATAGTTCAGCTTTCAAACACTCTTTTTGTAGAATCTGCAAGTGGATATTTGGACCACTTTGTGGCCTTCCTTCGAAACGTGTATATCTTCACATCAAACCTAGACAGAAGCATTCTCAGAATGTTTCCTGTGATGACTGCATTCAACTCACAGAGGTGAACAATCCTGCTGATGGAGCAGTTTTGAAACTCTCTTTCTTTGGATTCTGCAAGTGGATATGTGGACCTCTGTGAAGATTTCGTTGGAAACGGGTTCATCTTCACAGAAAAACTAAACAGAAGCATTCTCAGAAACTGCTTTGTGATGTTTGTGTTCCACTTCAAGAATTGAACTTTCCTCTTGACAGAGCAGCTCTGAAACCCTCTTTTTCTAGAATCTGCAAGTGGACATTTGGAGGGCTTTGAGGCCTGTGGTGGAAAAGGAAAATCTTCACATAAAAACTAGATGGAAGCATTCTCAGAAACTACTTTGTGATGATTGCATTCGACTCACAGAGTTGAACATTCCTATAGATAGAGCAGGTTGTAAACAATCTTTTTGTAGAATCTGCGATTGGAGATTTGGACTGCTTTGAGGCCTACTGTAGTAAAGGAAATAACTTCATCTAAAAACCAAACGGAAGCATTCACAGACAATTCTTAGTGATCATTGGATTGAACTAACAGAGCTGAACATTCCTTTAGATGGAGCAGGTTCCAAACACACTTTCTGTAGAATCTGCAAGTGGATATTTGGACCTCTCAGAGGATTTCGTTGAAAACGGGCTAAATTTCCCAGAACTACACGGAAGCATTCTGAGAAACTTCTTTGTGATGTTTGCATTCAACTCACAGAGTTGAACCTTGCTTTCATAGTTCAGCTTTCAAACACTCTTTTTGTAGAATCTGCAAGTGGATATTTGGACCACTTTCTGGCCTTCCTTCGAAACGGGTATATCTTCACATCAAACCTAGACAGAAGCATTCTCAGAATGTTTCCTGTGATGACTGCATTCAACTCACAGAGGTGAACAATCCTGCTGATGGAGCAGTTTTGAAACTCTCTTTCTTTGGATTCTGCAAGTGGATATGTGGACCTCTGTGAAGATTTCGTTGGAAACGGGTTCATCTTCACAGAAAAACTAAACAGAAGCATTCCCAGAAACTGCTTTGTGATGTTTGTGTTCCACTTCAGGAATTGAACTTTCCTCTTGACAGAGCAGCTCTGAAACCCTCTTTTTCTAGAATCTGCAAGTGGACATTTGGAGGGCTTTTAGGCCTGTGGTGGAAAAGGAAAATCTTCACATAAAAACTAGATGGAAGCATTCACAGAAACTACTTTGTGATGATTGCATTCGACTCACAGAGTTGAACATTCCTATAGATAGAGCAGGTTGTAAACAATCTTTTTGTAGAATCTGCGATTGGAGATTTGGACTGCTTTGAGGCCTACTGTAGTAAAGGAAATAACTTCATCTAAAAACCAAACGGAAGCATTCACAGACAATTCTTAGTGATCATTGGATTGAACTAACAGAGCTGAACATTCCTTTAGATGGAGCAGTTTCCAAACACACTTTCTGTAGAATCTGTAAGTGGATATTTGGACCTCTCTGAGGATTTTGTTGGAAACGGGATAAACTTCCCAGAACTACACGGAAGTATTCTGAGAAACTTCTTTGTGATGTTTGCATTCAACTCACAGAGTTGAACCTTGCTTTCATAGTTCAGCTTTCAAACACTCTTTTTGTAGAATCTGCAAGTGGATATTTGGACCACTTTGTGGCCTTCCTTCGAAACGGGTATATCTTCACATCAAACCTAGACAGAAGCATTCTCAGAATGTTTCCTGTGATGACTGCATTCAACTCACAGAGGTGAACAATCCTGTTGATGGAGCAGTTTTGAAACTCTCCATCTTTGGATTCTGCAAGTGGATATGTGGACCTCTGTGAAGATTTCGTTGGAAACGGGTTCATCTTCACAGAAAAACTAAACAGAAGCATTCTCAGAAACTGCTTTGTGATGTTTGTGTTCCACTTCAGGAATTGAACTTTCCTCTTGACAGAGCAACTCTGAAACCCTCTATTTCTAGAATCTGCAAGTGGACATTTGGAGGGCTTTGAGGCCTGTGGTAGAAAAGGAAAATCTTCACATAAAAACTAGATGGAAGCATTCTCAGAAACTACTCTGTGATGATTGCATTCGACTCACAGAGTTGAACATTCCTATAGATAGAGCAGGTTGTAAACAATCTTTTTGTAGAATCTGCGATTGGAGATTTGGACTGCTTTGAGGCCTAATGTAGTAAAGGAAATAACTTCATCTAAAAACCAAACGGAAGCATTCACAGACAATTCTTAGTGATCATTGCATTGAACCAACAGAGCTGAACATTCCTTTAGATGGCGCAGTTTCCAAACACACTTTCTGTAGAATCTGCAAGTGGATATTTGGACCTCTCTGAGGATTTCGTTGGAAACGGGATAAACTTCCCAGAACTACACGGAAGCATTCTGAGAAACTTCTTTGTGATGTTTGCATTCAACTCACAGAGTTGAACCTTGTTTTCATAGTTCAGCTTTCAAACACTCTTTTTGTAGAATCTGCAAGTGGATATTTGGACCACTTTGTGGCCTTCCTTCGAAACGGGTATATCTTCACATCAAACCTAGACAGAAGCATTCTCAGAATGTTTCCTGTGATGACCGCATTGGACTCACAGATGTGAACAATCCTGTTGATGGAGCAGTTTTGAAACTCTCTTTCTTTGGATTCTGCAAGTGGATATGTGGACCTCTGTGAAGATTTCGTTGGAAACGGGTTCATCTTCACAGAAAAACTAAACAGAAGCATTCTCAGAAATTGCTTTGTGATGTTTGTGTTCCACTTCAAGAATTGAACTTTCCTCTTGACAGAGCAGCTCTGAAACCCTCTTTTTCTAGAATCTGCAAGTGGACATTTGGAGGGCTTTGAGGCCTGTGGTGGAAAAGGAAAATCTTCACATAAAAACTAGATGGAAGCATTCTCAGAAACTACTTTGTGATGATTGCATTCGACTCACAGAGTTGAACATTCCTATAGATAGAGCAGGTTGTAAACAATCTTTTTGTAGAATCTGCGATTGGAGATTTGGACTGCTTTGAGGCCTACTGTAGTAAAGGAAATAACTTCATCTAAAAACCAAACGGAAGCATTCACAGACAATTCTTAGTGATCATTGGATTGAACTAACAGAGCTGGACATTCCTTTAGATGGAGCAGTTTCCAAACCCACTTTCTGTAGAGTCTGCAAGTGGATATTTGGACTTCTCTGAAGATTTCGTTGGAAACGGGATAAACTTCCCAGAACTACACGGAAGCATTGTGAGAAACTTCTTTGTGATGTTTGCATTCAACTCACAGAGTTGAACCTTGCTTTCATAGTTCAGCTTTCAAACACTCCTTTTGTAGAATCTGCAAGTGGATATTTGGACCACTTTGTGGCCTTCCTTGGAAACGGGTATATCTTCACATCAAACCTAGACAGAAGCATTCTCAGAATGTTTCCTGTGATGACTGCATTCAACTCACAGAGGTGAACAATCCTGCTGATGGAGCAGTTTTGAAACTCTCTTTCTTTGGATTCTGCAAGTGGATATGTGGACCTCTGTGAAGATTTCGTTGGAAACGGGTTCATCTTCACAGAAAAACTAAACAGAAGCATTCTCAGAAACTGCTTTGTGATGTTTGTGTTCCACTTCAGGAATTGAACTTTCCTCTTGACAGAGCAGCTCTGAAACCCTCTTATTCTAGAATCTGCAAGTGGACATTTGGAGGGCTTTGAGGCCTGTGGTGGAAAAGGAAAATCTTCACATAAAAACTAGATGGAAGCATTCTCAGAAACTACTTTGTGATGATTGCATTCGACTCACAGAGATGAACATTCCTATAGATAGAGCAGGTTGTAAACAATCTTTTTGTAGAATCTGCGATTGGAGATTTGGACTGCTTTGAGGTCTACTGTAGTAAAGGAAATAACTTCATCTAAAAACCAAACGGAAGCATTCACAGACAATTCTTAGTGATCATTGGATTGAACTAACAGAGCTGAACATTCCTTTAGATGGAGCAGTTTCCAAACACACTTTCTGTAGAATCTGCAAGTGGATATTTGGACTTCTCTGAGGATTTCGTTGGAAACGGGATAAACTTCCCAGAACTACACGGAAGCATTCTGAGAAACTTCTTTGTGATGTTTGCATTCAACTCACAGAGTTGAACCTTGTTTTCATAGTTCAGCTTTCAAACACTCTTTTTGTAGAATCTGCAAGTGGATATTTGGACCACTTTGTGGCCTTCCTTCGAAACGGGTATATCTTCACATCAAACCTAGACAGAAGCATTCTCAGAATGTTTCCTGTGATGACTGCATTCAACTCACAGAGGTGAACAATCCTGTTGATGGAGCAGTTTTGAAACTCTCTTTCTTTTGATTCTGCAAGTGGATATGTGGACCTCTGTGAAGATTTCGTTGGAAACGGTTTCATCTTCACAGAAAAACTAAACAGAAGCATTCTCAGAAACTGCTTTGTGATGTTTGTGTTCCACTTCAAGAATTGAACTTTGCTCTTGACAGAGCAGCTCTGAAACCCTCTTTTTCTAGAATCTGTAAGTGGACATTTGGAGGGCTTTGAGGACTGTGGTGGAAAAGGAAAATCTTCACATAAAAACTAGATGGAAGCATTCTCAGAAACTACTTTGTGATGATTGCATTCGACTCACAGAGTAGAACATTCCTATAGATAGAGCAGGTTGTAAACAATCTTTTTGTAGAATCTGCGATTGGAGATTTGGACTGCTTTGAGGCCTACTGTAGTAACGGAAATAACTTCATCTAAAAACCAAACGGCAGCATTCACAGACAATTCTTAGTGATCATTGGATTGAACTAACAGAGCTGAACATTCCTGTAGATGGAACAGTTTCCAAACACACTTTCTGTAGAATCTGCAAGTGGATATTTGGACCTCTCTGAGGATTTCGTTGGAAACGGGATAAACTTCCCAGAACTACACGGAAGCATTCTGAGAAACTTCTTTGTGATGTTTGCATTCAACTCACAGAGTTGAACCTTGCTTTCATAGTTCAGCTTTCAAACACTCTTTTTGTAGAATCTGCAAGTGGATATTTGGACCACTTTGTGGCCTTCCTTCGAAACGGGTATATCTTCACATCAAACCTAGACAGAAGCATTCTCAGAATATTTCCTGTGATGACTGCATTCAACTCACAGAGGTGAACAATCCTGCTGATGGAGCAGTTTTGAAACTCTCTTTCTATGGATTCTGCAAGTGGATATGTGGACCTCTGTGAAGATTTCGTTGGAAACGGGTTCATCTTCACAGAAAAACTAAACAGGAGCATTCTCAGAAACTCCTTTGTGATGTTTGTGTTCCACTTCAAGAATTGAACTTTCCTCTTGACAGAGCTGCTCTGAAACTCCCTTTTTCTAGAATCTGCAAGTGGACATTTGGAGGGCTTTGAGGCCTGTGGTGGAAAAGGAAACATCTTCACATAAAACCTAGATAGAAGCATTCTCAGAAAACTACTTTGTGATGATTGCATTCGACTCACAGAGTTGAACATTCCTATAGATAGAGCAGGTTGTAAACAATTTTTTTGTAGAATCTGCGATTGGAGATTTGGACTGCTTTGAGGCCTACTGTAGTAAAGGAAATAACTTCATCTAAAAACCAAACGGAAGCATTCACAGACAATTCTTAGTGATCATTGGATTGAACAAACAGAGCTGAACATTCCTTTAGATGGCGCAGTTTCCAAACACACTTTCTGTAGAATCTGCAAGTGGATATTTGGAGCTCTCTGAGGATTTCGTTGGAAACGGGATAAACTTCCCAGAACTACACGGAAGCATTGTGAGAAACTTCTTTGTGATGTTTGCATTCAACTCACAGAGTTGAACCTTGCTTTCATAGTTCAGCTTTCAAACATTCTTTTTGTAGAATCTGCAAGTGGATATTTGGACCACATTGTGGCCTTCCTTCGAAACGGGTATATCTTCACATCAAACCTAGACAGAAGCATTCTCAGAATGTTTCCTGTGATGACTGCATTCAACTCACAGAGGTGAACAATCCTGCTGTTGGAGCAGTTTTGAAACTCTCTTTCTTTGGATTCTGCAAGTGGATATGTGGACCTCTGTGAAGATTTCGTTGGAAACGGGTACATCTTCACAGAAAAACTAAAGAGGAGCATTCTCAGAAACTGCTTTGTGATGTTTGTGTTCCACTTCAGGAATTGAACTTTCCTCTTGACAGAGCAGCTCTGAAACCCTCTTATTCTAGAATCTGCAAGTGGACATTTGCAGGGCTTTGAGGCCTGTGGTGGAAAAGGAAAATCTTCACATAAAAATTAGATGGAAGCATTCTCAGAAACTCCTTTGTGATGATTGCATTCGACTCACAGAGTTGAACTTTCCTACAGATAGAGCAGGTTGTAAACAATCTTTTTGTAGAATCTGCGATTGGAGATTTGGACTGCTTTGAGGCCTACTGTAGTAAAGGAAATAACTTCATCTAAAAACCAAACGGAAGCATTCACAGACAATTCTTAGTGATCATTGGATTGAACTAACAGTGCTGAACATTCCTTTAGATGGCGCAGTTTCCAAACACACTTTCTGTAGAATCTGCAAGTGGATATTTGGACCTCTCTGAGGATTTTGTTGGAAACGGGATAAACTTCCCAGAACTACACGGAAGCATTCTGAAAAACTTCTTTGTGATGTTTGCATTCAACTCACAGAGTTGAACCTTGCTTTCATAGTTCAGCTTTCAAACACTCTTTTTGTAGAATCTGCAAGTGGATATTTGGACCAATTTGTGGCCTTCCTTCGAAACGGGTATATCTTCACATCAAACCTAGACAGAAGCATTCTCAGAATGTTTCCTGTGATGACTGCATTCAACTCACAGAGGTGAACAATCCTGCTGATGGAGCAGTTTTGAAACTCTCTTTCTTTGGATTCTGCAAGTGGATATGTGGACCTCTGTGAAGATTTCGTTGGAAACGGGTTCATCTTCACAGAAAAACTAAACAGGAGCATTCTCAGAAACTGCTTTGTGATGTTTGTGTTCCACTTCAAGAATTGAACTTTCCTCTTGACAGAGCAGCTCTGAAACCCTCTTTTTCTAGAATCTGCAAGTGGACATTTGGAGGGCTTTGAGGCCTGTGGTGGAAAAGGAAAATCTTCACATAAAAACTAGATGGAAGCATTCTCAGAAACTACTTTGTGATGATTGCATTCGACTCACAGAGTTGAACATTCCTATAGATAGAGCAGGTTGTAAACAATCTTTTTGTAGAATCTGCGATTGGAGATTTGGACTGCTTTGAGGCCTACTGTAGTAAAGGAAATAACTTCATCTAAAAACCAAACGGAAGCATTCACAGACAATTCTTAGTGATCATTGGATTGAACTAACAGAGCTGAACATTCCTTTAGATGGAGCAGTTTCCAAACACAATTTCTGTAGAATCTGCAAGTGGATATTTGGACCTCTACTGAGGATTTCGTTGGAAACGGGATAAACTTCCCAGAACTACACGGAAGCATTCTGAGAAACTTCTTTGTGATGTTTGCATTCAACTCACAGAGTTGAACCTTGCTTTCATAGTTCAGCTTTCAAACACTCTTTTTGTAGAATCTGCAAGTGGATATTTGGACCACTTTGTGGCCTTCCTTCGAAACGGGTATATCTTCACATCAAACCTAGACAGAAGCATTCTCAGAATGTTTCCTGTGATGACTGCATTCAACTCACAGAGGTGAACAATCCTGCTGATGGAGCAGTTTTGAAACTCTCTTTCTTTGGATTCTGCAAGTGGATATATGGACCTCTGTGAAGATTTCGTTGGAAACGGGTTCATCTTCACAGAAAAACTAAACAGGAGCATTCTCAGAAACTGCTTTGTGATGTTTGTGTTCCACTTCAGGAATTGAACTTTCCTCTTGACAGAGCAGCTCTGAAACCCTCTTTTTCTAGAATCTGCAAGTGGACATTTGGAGGGCTTTGAGCCCTGTGGTGGAAAAGGAAAATCTTCACATAAAAACTAGATGGAAGCATTCTCAGAAACTACTTTGTGATGATTGCATTCGACTCACAGAGTTGAACATTCCTATAGATAGAGCAGGTTGTAAACAATCTTTTTGTAGAATCTGCGATTGGAGATTTGGACTGCTTTGAGGCCTACTGTAGTAAAGGAAATAACTTCATCTAAAAACCAAACGGAAGCATTCACAGACAATTCTTAGTGATCATTGCATTGAACTAACAGAGCTGAACATTCCTTTAGATGGAGCGGTTTCCAAACACACTTTCTGTAGAATCTGCAAGTGGATATTTGGACTTCTCTGAGGATTTCGTTGGAAACGGGATAAACTTCCCAGAACTACACGGAAGCATGCTGAGAAACTTCTTTGTGATGTTTGCATTCAACTCACAGAGTTGAACCTTGCTTTCATAGTTCAGCTTTCAAACACTCTTTTTGTAGAATCTGCAAGTGGATATTTGGACCACTTTGTGGCCTTCCTTCGAAACGGGTATATCTTCACATCAAACCTAGACAGAAGCATTCTCAGAATGTTTCCTGTGATGACTGCATTCAACTCACAGAGGTGAACAATCCTGCTGATGGAGCAGTTTTGAAACTCTCTTTCTTTGGATTCTGCAAGTGGATATGTGGACCTCTGTGAAGATTTCGTTGGAAACGGGTTCATCTTCACAGAAAAACTAAACAGAAGCATACTCAGAAACTGCTTTGTGATGTTTGTGTTCCACTTCAGGAATTGTACTTTCCTCTTGACAGAGCAGCTCTGAAACCCTCTTATTCTAGAATCTGCAAGTGGACATTTGGAGGCCTTTGAGGCCTGTGGTGGAAAAGGAAAATCTTCACATAAAAACTAGATGGAAGCATTCTCAGAAACTACTTTGTGATGATTGCATTCGACTCACAGAGTTGAACATTCCTATAGATAGAGCAGGTTGTAAACAATGTTTTTGTACAATCTGCGATTGGAGATTTGGACTGCTTTGAGGCCTACTGTAGTAAAGGAAATAACTTCATCTAAATACCAAACGGAAGCATTCACAGACAATTCTTGGTGATCATTGGATTGAGCTAACAGAGCTGAACATTCCTTTAGATGGAGCAGTTTCCAAACACACTTTCTGCAGAATCTGCAAGTGGATATTTGGACTTCTCTGAGGATTTCGTTGGAAACGGGATAAACTTCCCAGAACTACACGGAAGCATTGTGAGAATCATCTTTCTGATGTTTGCATTCAACTCACAGAGTTGAACCTTGCTTTCATAGTTCAGCTTTCAAACACTCTTTTTGTAGAATCTGCAAGTGGATATTTGGACCACTTTGTGGCCTTCCTTTGAAACGGGTACATCTTCACATCAAACCTAGACAGAAGCATTCTCAGAATGTTTCCTGTGATGACTGCATTCAACTCACAGAGGTGAACAATCCTGCTGATGGAGCAGTTTTGAAACTCTCTTTCTTTGGATTCTGCAAGTGGATATGTGGACCTCTGTGAAGATTTCGTTGGAAACGGGTTCATCTTCACAGAAAAACTAAACGGGAGCATTCTCAGAAACTGCTTTGTGATGTTTGTGTTCCACTTCAGGAATTGAACTTTCCTCTTGACAGAGCAGCCCTGAAACCCTCTTTTTCTAGAATCTGCAAGTGGACATTTGGAGGGCTATGAGGCCTGTGGTGGAAAAGGAAAATCTTCATATAAAAACTAGATGGAAGCATTCTCAGAAACTACTTTGTGATGATTGCATTCGACTCACAGAGTTGAACATTCCTATAGAGAGACCAGGTTGTAAACAATCTTTTTGTAGAATCTGCGATTAGAGATTTGGACAGCTTTGAGGCCTACTGTAGTAAAGGAAATAACTTCATCTAAAAACCAAACGGAAGCATTCACAGACAATTCTTAGTGATCATTGGATTGAACTAACAGAGCTGAAGATTCCTTTAGATGGAGCAGTTTCCAAACACACTTTCTGTAGAATCTGCAAGTGGATATTTGGACTTCTCTGAGGATTTCGTTGGAAACGGGATAAACTTCCCAGAACTACACGGAAGCATTGTGAGAAACTTCTTTGTGATGTTTGCATTCAACTCACAGAGTTGAACCTTGCTTTCATAATTCAGCTTTCAAACACTCTTTTTGTAGAATCTGCAAGTGGATATTTGGACCACTTTGTGGCCTTCCTTCGAAACGGGTATATCTTCACATCAAACCTAGACAGAAGCATTATCAGAATGTTTCCTGTGATGACTGCATTCAACTCACAGTAGGTGAACAATCCTGTTGATGGAGCACTTTTGAAACTCTCTTTCTTTGGATTCTGCAAGTTGATATGTGGACCTCTGTGAAGATTTCGTTGGAAACCGGTTCATCTTCACAGAAAAACTAAACAGAAGCATTCTCAGAAACTGCTTTGTGATGTTTGTGTTCCACTTCAGGAATTGAACTTTCCTCTTGACAGAGCAGCTCTAAAACCCTCTTATTCTAGAATCTGCAAGTGGACATTTGGAGGGCTTTGAGGCCTGTGGTGGAAAAGGAAAATCTTCACATAAAAACTAGATGGAAGCATTCTCAGAAACTACTTTGTGATGATTGCATTCGACTCACAGAGTTGAACATTCCTATAGATAGAGCAGGTTGTAAACAATCTTTTTGTAGAATCTGGGATTGGAGATTTGGACTGCTTTGAGGCCTACTGTAGTAAAGGAAATAACTTCATCTAAAAACCAAACGGAAGCATTCACAGACAATTCTTAGTGATCATTGCATTGAACTAACAGAGCTGAACATTCCTTTAGATGGAGCAGTTTCCAAACCCACTTTCTGTAGAATCTGCAAGTGGATATTTGGACTTCTCTGAGGATTTCGTTGGAAACGGGATAAACTTCGCAGAACCACACGGAGGCATTGTGAGAAACTTCTTTTTGATGTTTGCATTCAACTCACAGAGTTGAACCTTGCTTTCATAGTTCAGCTTTCAAACACTCTTTTTGTAGAATCTGCAAGTGGATATTTGGACCACTTTGTGGCCTTCCTTCGAAAGGGGTATATCTTCACATCAAACCTAGACAGAAGCATTCTCAGAATGTTTCCTGTGATGACTGCATTCAACTCACAGAGGTGAACAATCCTGCTGATGGAGCAGTTTTGAAACTCTCTTTCTATGGATTCTGCAAGTGGATATGTGGACCTCTGTGAAGATTTCGTTGGAAACGGGTTCATCTTCACAGAAAAACTAAACAGGACATTCTCAGAAACTGCTTTGTGATGTTTGTGTTCCACTTCAAGAATTGAACTTTCCTCTTGACAGAGCAGCTCTGAAACCCTCTTTTTCTAGAATCTGCAAGTGGACATTTGGAGGGCTTTGAGGCCTGTGGTGGAAAAGGAAAATCTTCACATAAAAACTACATGGAAGCATTCTCAGAAACTACTTTGTGATGATTGCATTCGACTCACAGAGTTGAACATTCCTATAGATAGAGCAGGTTGTAAACAATCTTTTTGTAGAATCTGCGATTGGAGATTTGGACTGCTTTGAGGCCTACTGTAGTAAAGGAAATAACTTCATCTAAAAACCAAACGGAAGCATTCACAGACAATTCCTAGTGATCATTGGATTGAACTAACAGTAGCTGAACATTCCTTTAGATGGAGCAGTTTCCAAACACACTTTCTGTAGAATCTGCAAGTGGATATTTGGACTTCTCTGAGGATTTCGTTGGAAACGGGATAAACTTCCCAGAACTACACGGAAGCATTCTGAGAAACTTCTTTGGATGTTTGCATTCAACTCACAGAGTTGAACCTTGCTTTCATAGTTCAGCTTTCAAACACTCTTTTTGTAGAATCTGCAAGTGGATATTTGGACCACTTTGTGGCCTTCCTTCGAAACGGGTATATCTTCACATGAAACATAGACAGAAGCATTCTCAGAATGTTTCCTGTGATGACTGCATTCAACTCACAGAGGTGAACAATCCTGCTGATGGAGCAGTTTTGAAACTCTCTTTCTTTGGATTCTGCAAGTGGATATGTGGACCTCTGTGAAGATTTCTTTGGAAACGGGTTCATCTTCACAGAAAAACTAAACAGAAGCATTCTCAGAAACTGCTTTGTGATGTTTGTGTTCCACTTCAAGAATTGAACTTTCCTCTTGACAGAGCAGCTCTGAAACCCTCTTTTTCTAGAATCTGCAAGTGGACATTTGGAGGGCTTTGAGGCCTGTGGTGGAAAAGGAAAATCTTCACATAAAAACTAGATGGAAGCATTCTCAGAAACTACTTTGGGATGATTGCATTCGACTCACAGAGTTGAACATTCCTATAGATAGAGCAGGTTGTAAACAATCTTTTTGTAGAATCTGAGATTGGAGATTTGGACTGCTTTGAGGCCTACTGTAGTAAAGGAAATAAGTTCATCTAAAAACCAAACGGAAGCATTCACAGACAATTCTTAGTGATCATTGGATTGAACTAACAGAGCTGAACATTCCTTTAGATGGCGCAGTTTCCAAACACACTTTCTGTAGAATCTGCAAGTGGATATTTGGACCTCTCTGAGGATTTCGTTGGAAACGGGATAAACTTCCCAGAACTACACGGAAGCATTCTGAGAAACTTCTTTGTGATGTTTGCATTCAACTCACAGAGTTGAACCTTGCTTTCATAGTTCAGCTTTCAAACACTCTTTTTGTAGAATCTGCAAGTGGATATTTGGACCACTTTGTGGCCTTCCTTCGAAACGGGTATATCTTCACATCAAACCTAGACAGAAGCATTCTCAGAATGTTTCCTGTGATGACTGCATTCAACTCACAGAGGTGAACAATCCTTCTGATGGAGCAGTTTTGAAACTCTCTTTCTTTGGATTCTGCAAGTGGATATGTGGACCTCTGTGAAGATTTCGTTGGAAACGGGTTCATCTTCACAGAAAAACTAAACAGGAGCATTCTCAGAAACTGCTTTGTGATGTTTGTGTTCCACTTCAGGAATTGAACTTTCCTCTTGACAGAGCAGCTCTGAAACCCTCTTTTTCTAGAATCTGCAAGTGGACATTTGGAGGGCTTTGAGGCCTGTGGTGGAAAAGGAAAATCTTCACATAAAAACTAGATGGAAGCATTCTCAGAAACTACTTTGTGATGATTGCATTCGACTCACAGAGTTGAACATTCCTATACATAGAGCAGGTTGTAAACAATCTTTTTGTAGAATCTGCGATTGGAGATTTGGACTGCTTTGAGGCCTACTGTAGTAAAGGAAATAACTTCATCTAAAAACCAAACGGAAGCATTCACAGACAATTCTTAGTGATCATTGCATTGAACTAACAGAGCTGAACATTCCTTTAGATGGCGCAGTTTCCAAACACACTTTCTGTAGAATCTGCAAGTGGATATTTGGACCTCTCTGAGGATTTCGTTGGAAACGGGATAAACTTCCCAGAACTACACGGAAGCATTCTGAGAAACTTCTTTGTGATGTTTGCATTCAACTCACAGAGTTGAAACTTGCTTTCATAGTTCAGCTTTCAAACACTCTTTTTGTAGAATCTGCAAGTGGATATTTGGACCACTTTGTGGCCTTCCTTCGAAACGGGTATATCTTCACATCAAACCTAGACAGAAGCATTCTCAGAATGTTTCCTGTGATGACTGCATTCAACTCACAGAGGTGAACAATCCTGTTGATGGAGCAGTTTTGAAACTCTCTTTCTTTGGATTCTGCAAGTGGATATGTGGACCTCTGTGAAGATTTCGTTGGAAACGGGTTCATCTTCACAGAAAAACTAAACAGGAGCATTCTCAGAAACTGCTTTGTGATGTTTGTGTTCCACTTCAAGAATTGAACTTTCCTCTTGACAGAGCAGCTCTGAAACCCTCTTTTTCTAGAATCTGCAAGTGGACATTTGGAGGGCTTTGAGGCCTGTGGTGGAAAAGGAAAATCTTCACATAAAAACTAGATGGAGGCATTCTCAGAAACTACTTTGTGATGATTGCATTCGACTCAAAGAGTTGAACATTCCTATAGATAGAGCAGGTTGTAAACAATCTTTTTGTAGAATCTGCGATTGGAGTTTTGGACTGCTTTGAGGCCTACTGTAGTAAAGGAAATAACTTCATCTAAAAACCAAACGGAAGCATTCACAGACAATTCTTAGTGATCATTGCATTGAACTAACAGAGCTGAACATTGCTTTAGATGGCGCAGTTTCCAAACCCACTTTCTGTAGAATCTGCAAGTGGATATTTGGACCTCTCTGAGGATTTCGTTGGAAACGGGATAAACTTCCCAGAACTACACGGAAGCATTCTGAGAAACTTCTTTGTGATGTTTGCATTCAACTCACAGAGTTGAACCTTGCTTTCATAGTTCAGCTTTCAAACACTCTTTTTGTAGAATCTGCAAGTGGATATTTGGACCACTTTGTGGCCTTCCTTCGAAACGGGTATATCTTCACATCAAACCTAGACAGAAGCATTCTCAGAATGTTTCCTGTGATGACTGCATTCAACTCACAGAGGTGAACAATCCTGTTGATGGAGCCATTTTGAAACTCCGTTTCTTTTGATTCTGCAAGTGGATAGGTGGAACTCTGTGAAGATTTCGTTGGAAACGGGTTCATCTTCACAGAAAAACTAAACAGGAGCATTCTCAGAAACTACTTTGTGATGTTTGTGTTCCACTTCAAGAATTGAACTTTCCTCTTCACAGAGCAGCTCTGAAACCCTCTTTTTCTAGAATCTGCAAGTGGACATTTGGAGGGCTTTGAGGCCTGTGGTGGAAAAGGAAAATCTTCACATAAAAACTAGATGGAAGCATTCTCAGAAACTACTTTGTGATGATTGCATTCGACTCACAGAGTTGAACATTCCTATAGATAGAGCAGGTTGTAAACAATCTTTTTGTAGAATCTGCGATTGGAGATTTGGACTGCTTTGAGGCCTACTGTAGTAAAGGAAATAACTTCATCTAAAAACCAAACGGAAGCATTCACAGACAATTCTTAGTGATCATTGGATTGAACTAACAGAGCTGAACATTCCTTTAGATGGAGCAGTTTTCAAACCCACTTTCTGTAGAATCTGCAAGTGGATATTTGGAACTCTCTGAGGATTTCTTTGGAAACGGGATAAACTTCGCAGAACTACACGGAAGCATTGTGAGAAACTTCTTTGTGATGTTTGCATTCAACTCACAGAGTTGAACCTCGCTTTCATAGTTCAGCTTTCAAACACTCTTTTTGTAGAATCTGCAAGTGGATATTTGGACCACTTTGTGGCCTTCCTTCGAAACGGGTATATCTTCACATCAAACCTAGACAGAAGCATTCTCAGAATGTTTCCTGTGATGACTGCATTCAACTCACAGAGGTGAACAATCCTGCTGATGGAGCAGTTTTGAAACTCTCTTTCTTTGGATTCTGCAAGTGGATATGTGGACCTCTGTGAAGATTTCGTTGGAAACGGGTTCATCTTCACAGAAAAATTAAACAGAAGCATTCTCAGAAACTGCTTTGTGATGTTTGTGTTCCACTTCAGGAATTGAACTTTCCTCTTGACAGAGCAGCTCTGAAACCCTCTTATTCTAGAATCTGCAAGTGGACATTTGGAGGGCTTTGAGGCCTGTGGTGGAAAAGGAAAATCTTCACATAAAAACTAGATGGAAGCATTCTCAGAAACTACTTTGTGATGATTGCATTCGACTCACAGAGTTGAACATTCCTATAGATAGAGCAGGTTGTAAACAATCTTTTTGTAGAATCTGCGATTGGAGATTTGGACTGCTTTGAGGCCTACTGTAGTAAAGGAAATAACTTCATCTAAAAACCAAACGGAAGCATTCACAGACAATTCTTAGTGATCATTGGATTGAACTAACAGAGCTGAACATTCCTTTAGATGGAGAAGTTTCCAAACACACTTTCTGCAGAATCTGCAAGTGGATATTTGGACTTCTCTGAGGATTTCGTTGGAAACGGGATAAACTTCCCAGAACTACACGGAAGCATTCTGAGAAACTTCTTTGTGATGTTTGCATTCAACTCACAGAGTTGAACCTTGCTTTCATAGTTCAGCTTTCAAACACTCTTTTTGTAGAATCTGCAAGTGGATATTTGGACCACTTTCTGGCCTTCCTTCGAAACGGGTATATCTTCACATCAAACCTAGACAGAAGCATTCTCAGAATGTTTCCTGTGATGACTGCATTCAACTCACAGAGGTGAACAATCCTGCTGATGGAGCAGTTTTGAAACTCTCTTTCTTTGGATTCTGCAAGTGGATATGTGGACCTCTGTGAAGATTTCGTTGGAAACGGGTTCATCTTCACAGAAAAACTAAACAGAAGCATTCTCAGAAACTGCTTTGTGATGTTTGTGTTCCACTTCAAGAATTGAACTTTCCTCTTGACAGAGCAGCTCTGAAACCCTCTTTTTCTAGAATCTGCAAGTGGACATTTGGAGGGCTTTGAGGCCTGTGGTGGAAAAGGAAAATCTTCACATAAAAACTAGATGGAAGCATTCTCAGAAACTCCTTTGTGATGATTGCATTCGACTCACAGAGTTGAACATTCCTATAGATAGAGCAGGTTGTAAACAATCTTTTTGTAGAATCTGCGATTGGAGATTTGGACTGCTTTGAGTCCTACTGTAGTAAAGGAAATAACTTCATCTAAAAACCAAACGGAAGCATTCACAGACAATTCTTAGTGATCATTGCATTGATCTAACAGAGCTGAACATTCCTTTAGATGGCGTAGTTTCCAAACACACTTTCTGTAGAATCTGCAAGTGGATATTTGGACCTCTCTGAGGATTTCGTTGGAAAAGGGATAAACTTCCCAGAACTACACGGAAGCATTCTGAGAAACTTCTTTGTGATGTTTGCATTCAACTCACAGAGTTGAACCTTGCTTTCATAGTTCAGCTTTCAAACAATCTTTTTGTGGAATCTGCAAGTGGATATATGGACCACTTTGTGGCCTTCCTTTGAAACGGGTACATCTTCACATCAAACCTAGACAGAAGCATTCTCAGAATGTTTCCTGTGATGACTGCATTCAACTCACAGAGGTGAACAATCCTGCTGATGGAGCAGTTTTGAAACTCTCTTTCTTTGGATTCTGCAAGTGGATATGTGGACCTCTGTGAAGATTTCGTTGGAAACGGGTTCATCTTCACAGAAAAACTAAACAGAAGCATTCTCAGAAACTGCTTTGTGATGTTTGTGTTCCACTTCAGGAATTGAACTTTCCTCTTGACAGAGCAGCTCTGAAACCCTCTTTTTCTAGAATCTGCAAGTGGACATTTGGAGGGCTTTGAGGCCTGTGGTGGAAAAGGAAAATCTTCACATAAAAACTAGATGGAAGCATTCTCAGAAACTACTTTGTGATGATTGCATTCGACTCACATAGTTGAACATTCCTATACATAGAGCAGGTTGTAAACAATCTTTTTGTCGAATCTGCGATTGGAGATTTGGACTGCTTTGAGGCCTACTGTAGTAAAGGAAATAACTTCATCTAAAAACCAAACGGAAGCATTCACAGACAATTCTTAGTGATCATTGGATTGAACTAACAGAGCTGAACATTCCTTTAGATGGAGCAGTTTCCAAACACACTTTCTGTAGAATCTGAAAGTGGATATTTGGACTTCTCTGAGGATTTCGTTGGAAACGGGATAAACTTCCCAGAACTACACGGAAGCATTCTGAGAAACTTCTTTGTGATGTTTGCATTCAACTCACAGAGTTTAAACTTGCTTTCATAGTTCAGCTTTCAAACACTCTTTTTGTAGATTCTGCAAGTGGATATTTGGACCACTTTGTGGCCTTCCTTCGAAACGGGTATATCTTCACATCAAACCTAGACAGAAGAATTCTCAGAATGTTTCCTGTGATGACTGCATTCAACTCACAGAGGTGAACAATCCTGCTGATGGAGCAGTTTTGAAACTCTCTTTCTTTGGATTCTGCAAGTGGATATGCGGACCTCTGTGAAGATTTCGTTGGAAACGTGTTCATCTTCACAGAAAAACTAAACAGGAGCATTCTCAGAAACTGCTTTGTGATGTTTGTGTTCCACTTCAAGAATTGAACTTTCCTCTTGACAGAGCAGCAATGAAACCCTCTTTTTCTAGAATCTGCAAGTGGACATTTGGAGGTCTTTGAGGCCTGTGGTGGAAAAGGAAAATCTTCACATAAAAACTAGATGGAAGCATTCTCAGAAACTACTTTGTGATGATTGCATTCGACTCACAGAGTTGAACATTCCTATAGATAGAGCAGGTTGTAAACAATCTTTTTGTAGAATCTGCGATTGGAGATTTGGACTGCTTTGAGGCCTACTGTAGTAAAGGAAATAACTTCATCTAAAAACCAAACGGAAGCATTCACAGACAATTCTTAGTGATCATTGGATTGAACTAACAGAGCTGAACATTCCTTTAGATGGAGCAGTTTCCAAACACACTTTCTGTAGAATCTGCAAGTGGATATTTGGACTTCTCTGAGGATTTCGTTGGAAACGGGATAAACTTCCCAGAACTACACGGAAGCATTGTGAGAAACTTCTTTGTGATGTTTGCATTCAACTCACAGAGTTGAACCTTGCTTTCATAGTTCAGCTTTCAAACACTCTTTTTGTAGAATCTGCAAGTGGATATTTGGACCACTTTGTGGCCTTCCTTCGAAACGGGTATATCTTCACATCAAACCTAGACAGAAGCATTCTCAGAATGTTTCCTGTGATGACTGCATTCAACTCACAGAGGTGAACAATCCTGCTGATGGAGCAGTTTTGAAACTCTCTTTCTTTGGATTCTGCAAGTGGATATGTGGACCTCTGTGAAGATTTCATTGGAAATGGGTTTATCTTCACAGAAAAACTAAACAGAAACATTCTCAGAAACTGCTTTGTGATGTTTGTGTTCCACTTCAAGAATTGAACTTTCCTCTTGACAGAGCAGCTCTGAAACCCTCTTTTTCTAGAATCTGCAAGTGGACATTTGGAGGGCTTTGAGGCCTGTGGTGGAAAAGGAAAATCTTCACATAAAAACTAGATGGAAGCATTCTCAGAAACTACTTTGTTATGATTGCATTCGACTCACAGAGTTGAACATTCCTATAGATAGAGCAGGTTGTAAACAATCTTTTTGTAGAATCTGCGATTGGAGATTTGGACTGCTTTGAGGCCTACTGTAGTAAAGGAAATAACTTCATCTAAAAACCAAACGGAAGCATTCACAGACAATTCTTAGTGATCATTGGATTGAACTAACAGAGCTGAACATTCCTTTAGATGGAGCAGTTTCCAAACCCACTTTCTGTAGAATCTGCAAGGGGATATTTGGACTTCTCTGAGGATTTCGTTGGAAACGGGATAAACTTCCCAGAACTACACGGAAGCATTGTGAGAAACTTCTTTGTGATGTTTGCATTCAACTCACAGAGTTGAACCTTGCTTTCATAGTTCAGCTTTCAAACACTCTTTTTGTAGAATCTGCAAGTGGATATTTGGACCACTTTGTGGCCTTCCTTCGAAACGGGTATATCTTCACATCAAACCTAGACAGAAGCATTCTCAGAATGTTTCCTGTGATGACTGCATTCAACTCACAGAGGTGAACAATCCTGCTGATGGAGCAGTTTTGAAACTCTCTTTCTTTGGATTCTGCAAGTGGATATGTGGACCTCTGTGAAGATTTCGTTGGAAACGGGTTCATCTTCACAGAAAAACTAAACAGGAGCATTCTCAGAAACTGCTTTGTGATGTTTGTGTTCCACTTCAAGAATTGAACTTTCCTCTTGACAGAGCAGCTCTGAAACCCTCTTTTTCTAGAATCTGCAAGTGGACATTTGGAGGGCTTTGAGGCCTGTGGTGGAAAAGGAAAATCTTCACATAAAAACTAGATGGAAGCATTCTCAGAAACTACTTTGTGATGATTGCATTCGACTCACAGAGTTGAACATTCCTATAGATAGAGCAGGTTGTAAACAATCTTTTTGTAGAATCTGCGATTGGAGATTTGGACTGCTTTGAGGCCTACTGTAGTAAAGGAAATAACTTCATCTAAAAACCAAACGGAAGCATTCACAGACAATTCTTAGTGATCATTGCATTGATCTAACAGAGCTGAACATTCCTTTAGATGGCGTAGTTTCCAAACACACTTTCTGTAGAATCTGCAAGTGGATATTTGGACCTCTCTGAGGATTTCGTTGGAAACGGGATAAACTTCCCAGAACTACACGGAAGCATTGTGAGAAACTTCTTTGTGATGTTTTCATTCAACTCACAGAGTTGAACCTTGCTTTCATAGTTCAGCTTTCGAACACTCTTTTTGTAGAATCTGCAAGTGGATATTTGGACCACTTTGTGGCCTTCCTTTGAAACGGGTATATCTTCACATCAAACCTAGACAGAAGCATTCTCAGAATGTTTCCTGTGATGACTGCATTCAACTCACAGAGGTGAACAATCCTGTTGATGGAGCAGTTTTGAAACTCTCTTTCTTTGGATTCTGCAAGTGGATATGTGGACCTCTGTGAAGATTTCGTTGGAAACGGGTTCATCTTCACAGAAAAACTAAACAGAAGCATTCTCAGAAACTGCTTTGTGATGTTTGTGTTCCACTTCAAGAATTGAACTTTCCTCTTGACAGAGCAGCTCTGAAACCCTCTTTTTCTAGAATCTGCAAGTGGACATTTGGAGGGCATTGAGGCCTGTGGTGGAAAAGGAAAACCTTCACATAAAAACTAGATGGAAGCATTCTCAGAAACTACTTTGTGATGATTGCATTCGACTCACAGAGTTGAACATTCCTATAGATAGAGCAGGTTGTAAACAATCTTTTTGTAGAATCTGCGATTGGAGATTTGGACTGATTTGAGGCCTACTGTAGTAAAGGAAATAACTTCATCTAAAAACCAAACGGAAGCATTCACAGACAATTCTTAGTGATCATTGCATTGAACTAACAGAGCTGAACATTCCTTTAGATGGCGCAGTTTCCAAACACACTTTCTGTAGAATCTGCAAGTGGATATTTGGACCTCTCTGAGGATTTCGTTGGAAACGGGATAAACTTCCCAGAACTACACGGAAGCATTGTGAGAAACTTCTTTGTGATGTTTGCATTCAACTCACAGAGTTGAACCTTGCTTTCATAGTTCAGCTTTCAAACACTCTTTTTGTAGAATCTGCAAGTGGATATTTGGACCACTTTGTGGCCTTCCTTCGAAACGGGTATATCTTCACATCAAACCTAGACAGAAGCATTCTCAGAATGTTTCCTGTGATGACTGCATTCAACTCACAGAGGTGAACAATCCTGCTGATGGAGCAGTTTTGAAACTCTCTTTCTTTGGATTCTGCAAGTGGATATGTGGACCTCTGTGAAGATTTCGTTGGAAACGGGTTCATCTTCACAGAAAAACTAAACAGAAGCATTCTCAGAAACTGCTTTGTTATGTTTGTGTTCCACTTCAAGAATTGAACTTTCCTCTTGACAGAGCAGCTCTGAAACCCTCTTTTTCTAGAATCTGCAAGTGGACATTTGGAGGGCTTTGAGGCCTGTGGTGGAAAAGGAAAATCTTCACATAAAAATTAGATGGAAGCATTCTCAGAAACTACTTTGTGATGATTGCATTCGACTCACAGAGTTGAACATTCCTATAGATAGAGCAGGTTGTAAACAATCTTTTTGTAGAATCTGCGATTGGAGATTTGGACTGCTTTGAGGCCTACTGTAGTAAAGGAAATAACTTCATCTAAAAACCAAACGGAAGCATTCACAGACAATTCTTAGTGATCATTGCATTGAACTAACAGAGCTGAACATTCCTTTAGATGGAGCAGTTTCCAAACACACTTTCTGTAGAATCTGCAAGTGGATATTTGGACTTCTCTGAGGATTTCGTTGGAAACGGGATAAACTTCCCAGAACTACACGGAAGCATTCTGAGAAACTTCTTTGTGATGTTTGCATTCAACTCACAGAGTTGAACCTTGCTTTCATAGTTCAGCTTTCAAACACTCTTTTTGTAGAATCTGCAAGTGGATATTTGGACCACTTTGTGGCCTTCCTTCGAAACGGGTATATCTTCACATCAAACCTAGACAGAAGCATTCTCAGAATGTTTCCTGTGATGACTGCATTCAACTCACAGAGGTGAACAATCCTGCTGATGGAGCAGTTTTGAAACTCTCCATCTTTGGATTCTGCAAGTGGATATGTGGACCTCTGTGAAGATTTCGTTGGAAACGGGTTCATCTTCACAGAAAAACTAAACAGGAGCATTCTCAGAAACTGCTATGTGATGTTTGTGTTCCACTTAAAGAATTGAACTTTCCTCTTGACAGAGCAGCTCTGAAACCCTCTTTTTCTAGAATCTGCAAGTGGACATTTGGAGGGCTTTGAGGCCTGTGGTGGAAAAGGAAAATCTTCACATAAAAACTAGATGGAAGCATTCTCAGAAACTACTTTGTGATGATTGCATTCGACTCACAGAGTTGAACATTCCTATAGATACAGCAGGTTGTAAACAATCTTTTTGTAGAATCTGCGATTGGAGATTTGGACTGCTTTGAGGCCTACTGTAGTAAAGGAAATAACTTCATCTAAAAACCAAACGGAAGCATTCACAGACAATGCTTAGTGATCATTGGATTGAACTAACAGAGCTGAACATTCCTTTAGATGGAGCAGTTTCCAAACACACTTTCTGTAGAATCTGCAAGTGGATATTTGGACCTCTCTGAGGATTTCGTTGGAAACGGGATATACTTCCCAGAACTACACGGAAGTATTCTGAGAAACTTCTTTGTGATGGTTGCATTCAACTCACAGAGTTGAACCTTGCTTTCATAGTTCAGCTTTCAAACACTCTTTTTGTAGAATCTGCAAGTGGATATTTGGACCAATTTGTAGCCTTCCTTCGAAACGGGTATATCTTCACATCAAACCTTGACAGAAGCATTCTCAGAATGTTTCCTGTGAAGACTGCATTCAACTCACAGAGGTGAACAATCCTGCTGATGGAGCAGTTTTGAAACTCTCTTTCTTTGGATTCTGCAAGTGGATATGTGGACCTCTGTGAAGATTTCGTTGGAAACGGGTTCATCTTCACAGAAAAACTAAACAGGAGCATTCTCAGAAACTGCTTTGTGATGTTTGTGTTCCACTTCAGGAATTGAACTTTCCTCTTGACAGAGCAGCTCTGAAACCCTCTTTTTCTAGAATCTGCAAGTGGACATTTGGAGGGCTTTGAGGCCTGTGGTGGAAAAGGAAAATCTTCACGTAAAAACTTTATGGAAGCATTCTCAGAAACTACTTTGTGATGATTGCATTCGACTCACAGAGTTGAACATTCCTATAGATAGAGCAGGTTGTAAACAATCTTTTTGTAGAATCTGCGATTGGAGATTTGGACTGCTTTGAAGCCTACTGTAGTAAAGGAAATAACTTCATCTAAAAACCAAACGGAAGCATTCACAGACAATTCTTAGTGATCATTGGATTGAACTAACAGAGCTGAACATTCCTTTAGATGGAGCAGTTTCCAAACACACTTTCTGTAGAATCTGCAAGTGGATATTTGGACCTCTCTGAGGATTTCGTTGGAAACGGGATAAACTTCCCAGAACTACATGGAAAAGCTTTGTGAGAAACTTCTTTGTGATGTTTGCATTCAACTCACAGAGTTGAACCTTGCTTTCATAGTTCAGCTTTCAAACACTCTTTTTGTAGAATCTGCAAGTGGATATTTGGACCACTTTGTGGCCTTCCTTTGAAAAGGGTATATCTTCACATCAAACCTAGACAGAAGCATTCTCAGAATGTTTCCTGTGATGACTGCATTCAACTCACAGAGGTGAACAATCCTGCTGATGGAGCAGTTTTGAAACTCTCTTTCTTTGGATTCTGCAAGTGGATATGTGGACCTCTGTGAAGATTTCGTTGGAAACGGGTTCATCTTCACAGAAAAACTAAACAGAAGCATTCTCAGAAACTGCTTTGTGATGTTTGTGTTCCACTTCAAGAATTGAACTTTCCTCTTGACAGAGCAGCTCTGAAACCCTCTTTTTCTAGAATCTGCAAGTGGACATTTGGAGGGCATTGAGGCCTGTGGTGGAAAAGGGAAATCTTCACATAAAAACTAGATGGAAGCATTCTCAGAAACTACTTTGTGATGATTGCATTCGACTCACAGAGTTGAACATTCCTATAGATAGAGCAGGTTGTAAACAATCTTTTTGTAGAATCTGCGATTGGAGATTTGGACTGCTTTGAGGCCTAGTGTAGTAAAGGAAATAACTTCATCTAAAAACCAAACGGAAGCATTCACAGACAATTCTTAGTGATCATTGGATTGAACTAACAGAGCTGAACATTCCTTTAGATGGAGCAGTTTCCAAACACACTTTCTGTAGAATCTGCAAGTGGATATTTGGACTTCTCTGAGGATTTCGTTGGAAACGGGATAAACTTCCCAGAACTACACGGAAGCATTGTGAGAAACTTCTTTGTGATGTTTGCATTCAACTCACAGAGTTGAACCTTGCTTTCATAGTTCAGCTTTCAAACACTCCTTTTGTAGAATCTGCAAGTGGATATTTGGACCACTTTGTGGCCTTCCTTCGAAACGGGTATATCTTCACATCAAACCTAGACAGAAGCATTCTCAGAATGTTTCCTGTGATGACTGCATTCAACTCACAGAGGTGAACAATCCTGCTGATGGAGCAGTTTTGAAACTCTCTTTCTTTGGATTCTGCAAGTGGATATGTGGACCTCTGTGAAGATTTCGTTGGAAACGGGTTCATCTTCACAGAAAAACTAAACAGGAGCATTCCCAGAAACTGCTTTGTGATGTTTCTGTTCCACTTCAAGAATTGAACTTTCCTCTTGACAGAGCAGCTCTGAAACCCTCTTTTTCTAGAATCTGCAAGTGGACATTTGGAGGGCTTTGAGGCCTGTGGTGGAAAAGGAAAATCTTCACATAAAAACTAGATGGAAGCATTCTCAGAAACTACTTTGTGATGATTGCATTCGACTCACAGAGTTGAACATTCCTATAGATAGAGCAGGTTGTAAACAATCTTTTTGTAGAATCTGCGATTGGAGATTTGGACTGCTTTGAGGCCTACTGTAGTAAAGGAAATAACTTCATCTAAAAATCAAACGGAAGCATTCACAGACAATTCTTAGTGATCATTGCATTGAACTAACAGAGCTGAACATTCCTGTAGATGGCGCAGTTTCCAAACACACTTTCTGTAGAATCTGCAGGTGGATATTTGGACCTCTACTGAGGATTTCGTTGGAAACGGGATAAACTTCCCAGAACTACACGGAAGCATTGTGAGAAACTTCTTTGTGATGTTTGCATTCAACTCACAGAGTTGAACCTTGCTTTCATAGTTCAGCTTTCAAACACTCTTTTTGTAGAATCTGCAAGTGGATATTTGGACCACTTTGTGGCCTTCCTTCGAAACGGGTATATCTTCACATCAAACCTAGACAGAAGCATTCTCAGAATGTTTCCTGTGATGACTGCATTCAACTCACAGAGGTGAACAATCCTGTTGATGGAGCAGTTTTGAAACTCTCTTTCTTTGTATTCTGCAAGTGGATATGTGGACCTCTGTGCAGATTTCGTTGGAAAAGGGTTCATCTTCACAGAAAAACTAAACAGAAGCATTCTCAGAAACTGCTTTGTGATGTTTCTGTTCCACTTCAGGAATTGAACTTTCCTCTTGACAGAGCAGCTGTGAAACCCTCTTATTCTAGAATCTGCAAGTGGACATTTGGAGGGCTTTGAGGCCTGTGGTGGAAAAGGAAAATCTTCACATACAAACTAGATGGAAGCATTCTCAGAAACTACTTTGTGATGATTGCATTCGACTCACAGAGTTGAACATTCCTATAGATAGAGCAGGTTGTAAACAATGTTTTTGTAGAATCTGCGATTGGAGATTTGGATTGCTTTGAGGCCTACTGTAGTAAAGGAAATCACTTCATCTAAAAACCAAACGGAAGCATTCACAGACAATTCTTAGTGATCATTGGATTGAACTAACAGAGCTGAACATTCCTTTAGACGGAGCAGTTTCCAAACACACTTTCTGTAGAATCTGCAAGTGGATATTTGGACTTCTCTGAGGATTTCGTTGGAAACGGGCTAAAATTCCCAGAACTACACGGAAGCATTCTGAGAAACTTCTTTGTGATGTTTGCATTCAACTCACAGAGTTGAACCTTGCTTTCATAGTTCAGCTTTCAAACACTCTTTTTGTAGAATCTGCAAGTGGATATTTGGACCACTTTGTGGCCTTCCTTCGAAACGGGTATATCTTCACATCAAACCTAGACAGAAGCATTCTCAGAATGTTTCCTGTGATGACTGCATTCAACTCACAGAGGTGAACAATCCTGCTGATGGAGCAGTTTTGAAACTCTCTTTCTTTGGATTCTGCAAGTGGATATGTGGACCTCTGTGAAGATTTCGTTGGAAACGGGTTCATCTTCACAGAAAAACTAAACAGGAGCATTCTCAGAAACTACTTTGTGATGTTTGTGTTCCACTTCAAGAATTGAACTTTCCTCTTGACAGAGCAGCTCTGAAACCCTCTTTTTCTAGAATCTGCAAGTGGACATTTTGAGGGCTTTGAGGCCTGTGGTGGAAAAGGAAAATCTTCACATAAAAACTAGATGGAAGCATTCTCAGAAACTACTTTGTGATGATTGCATTCGACTCACAGAGTTGAACATTCCTATAGATAGAGCAGGTTGTAAACAATCTTTTTGTAGAATCTGCGATTGGAGATTTGGACTGCTTTGAGGCCTACTGTAGTAAAGGAAATAACTTCATCTAAAAACCAAACGGAAGCATTCACAGTACAATTCTTAGTGATCATTGGATTGAACTAACAGAGCTGAACATTCCCTTAGATGGCGCAGTTTCCAAACACACTTTCTGTAGAATCTGCAAGTGGATATTTGGACCTCTCTGAGGATTTCGTTGGAAACGGGATAAACTTCCCAGAACTACACGGAAGCATTCTGAGAAACTTCTTTGGATGTTTGCATTCAACTCACAGAGTTGAACCCTGCTTTCATTGTTCAGCTTTCAAACACTCTTTTTGTAGAATCTGCAAGTGGATATTTGGACCACTTTGTGGCCTTCCTTCGAAACGGGTATATCTTCACATCAAACCTAGACAGAAGCATTCTCAGAATGTTTCCTGTGATGACTGCATTCAACTCACAGAGGTGAACAATCCTGCTGATGGAGCAGTTTTGAAACTCTCTTTCTTTGGATTCTGCAAGTGGATATGTGGACCTCTGTGAAGATTTCGTTGGAAACGGGTTCATCTTCACAGAAAAACTAAACAGGAGCATTCTCAGAAACTGCTTTGTGATGTTTGTGTTCCACTTCAAGAATTGAACTTTCCTCTTGACAGAGCAGCTCTGAAACCCTCTTTTTCTAGAATCTGCAAGTGGACATTTGGAGGGCTTTGAGGCCTGTGGTGGAAAAGGAAAATCTTCCCATAAAAACTAGATGGAAGCATTCTCAGAAACTACTTTGTGATGATTGCATTCGACTCACAGAGTTGAACATTCCTATAGATAGAGCAGGTTGTAAACAATCTTTTTGTAGAATCTGCGATTGGAGATTTGGACTGCTTTGAGGCCTACTGTAGTAAAGGAAATAACTTCATCTAAAAACCAAACGGAAGCATTCACAGACAATTCTTAGTGATCATTGCATTGAACTAACAGAGCTGAACATTCCTTTACATGGAGCAGTTTCCAAACACACTTTCTGTAGAATCTGCAAGTGGATATTTGGACTTCTCTGAGGATTTCGTTGGAAACGGGATAAACTTCCCAGAACTACACGGAAGCATTGTGAGAAACTTCTTTGTGATGTTTGCATTCAACTCACAGAGTTGAACCTTGCTTTCATAGTTCAGCTTTCAAACACTCTTTTTGTAGAATCTGCAAGTGGATATTTGGACCACTTTGTGGCCTTCCTTCGAAACGGGTATATCTTCACATCAAACCTTGTCAGAAGCATTCTCAGAATGTTTCCTGTGATGACTGCATTCAACTCACAGAGGTGAACAATCCTGCTGATGGAGCAGTTTTGAAACTCTCCTTCTTTGGATTCTGCAAGTGGATATGTGGACCTCTGTGAAGATTTCGTTGGAAACGGGTTCATCTTCACAGAAAAACTAAACAGAAGCATTCTCAGAAACTGCTTTGTGATGTTTGTGTTCCACTTCAAGAATTGAACTTTCCTCTTGACAGAGCAGCTCTGAAACCCTCTTTTTCTAGAATCTGCAAGTGGACATTTGGAGGGCTTTGAGGCCTGTGGTGGAAAAGGAAAATCTTCACATAAAAACTAGATGGAAGCATTCTCAGAAACTACTTTGTGATGATTGCATTCGACTCACAGAGTTGAACATTCCTATAGATAGAGCAGGTTGTAAACAATCTTTTTGTAGAATCTGCGATTGGAGATTTGGACTGCTTTGAGGCCTACTGTAGTAAAGGAAATAACTTCATCTAAAAACCAAACGGAAGCATTCACAGTACAATTCTTAGTGATCATTGCATTGAACTAACAGAGCTGAACATTCCTTTAGATGGAGCAGTTTCCAAACCCACTTTCTGTAGAATCTGCAAGTGGATATTTGGACTTCTCTGAGGATTTCGTTGGAAACGGGATAAACTTCCCAGAACTACAGGGAAGCATTCTGAGAAACTTCTTTGTGATGTTTGCATTCAACTCATAGAGTTGAACCTTGCTTTCATAGTTCAGCTTTCAAACACTCTTTTTGTAGAATCTGCAAGTGGATATTTGGACCACTTTGTGGCCTTCCTTCGAAACGGGTATATCTTCACATCAAACCTAGACAGAAGCATTCTCAGAATGTTTCCTGTGATGACTGCATTCAACTCACAGAGGTGAACAATCCTGCTGATGGAGCAGTTTTGAAACTCTCTTTCTTTGGATTCTGCAAGTGGATATGTGGACCTCTGTGAAGATTTCGTTGGAAACGGGTTCATCTTCACAGAAAAACTAAACAGAAGCATTCTCAGAAACTGCTTTGTGATGTTTGTGTTCCACTTCAGGAATTGAACTTTCCTCTTGACAGAGCAGCTCTGAAACCCTCTTTTTCTAGAATCTGCAAGTGGACATTTGGAGGGCTTTGAGGCCTGTGGTGGAAAAGGAAAATCTTCACATAAAAACTAGATGGAAGCATTCTCAGAAACTACTTTGTGATGATTGCATTCGACTCACAGAGTTGAACATTCCTATAGATAGAGCAGGTTGTAAACAATCTTTTTGTAGAATCTGCGATTGGAGATTTGGACTGCTTTGAGGCCTACTGTAGTAAAGGAAATAACTTCATCTAAAAACCAAACGGAAGCATTCACAGACAATTCTTAGTGATCATTGGATTGAACTAACAGAGCTGAACATTCCTTTAGATGGAGCAGTTTCCAAACACACTTTCTGTAGAATCTGCAAGTGGATATTTGGACCTCTCTGAGGATTTCGTTGGAAACGGGATAAACTTCCCAGAACTACACGGAAGCATTCTGAGAAACTTCTTTGTGATGTTTGCATTCAACTCACAGAGTTGAACCTTGCTTTCATAGTTCAGCTTTCAAACACTCTTTTTGTAGAATCTGCAAGTGGATATTTGGACCACTTTGTGGCCTTCCTTCGAAACGGGTATATCTTCCCATCAAACCTAGACAGAAGCATTCTCAGAATGTTTCCTGTGATGACTGCATTCAACTCACAGAGGTGAACAATCCTGTTGATGGAGCAGTTTTGAAACTCTCTTTCTTTGGATTCTGCAAGTGGATATGTGGACCTCTGTGAAGATTTCGTTGGAAACGGGTTCATCTTCACAGAAAAACTAAACAGAAGCATTCTCAGAAACTGCTTTGTGATGTTTGTGTTCCACTTCAGGAATTGAACTTTCCTCTTGACAGAGCAGCTCTGAAATCCTCTTATTCTAGAATCTGCAAGTGGACATTTGGAGGGCTTTGAGGACTGTGGTGGAAAAGGAAAATCTTCACATAAAAACTAGATGGAAGCATTCTCAGAAACTACTTTGTGATGATTGCATTCGACTCACAGAGTTGAACATTCCTATAGATAGAGCAGGTTGTAAACAATCTTTTTGTAGAATCTGCGATTGGAAATTTGGACTGCTTTGAGGCCTACTGTAGTAAAGGAAATAACTTCATCTAAAAACCAAACGGAAGCATTCACAGACAATTCTTCGTGATCATTGCATTGAACTAACAGAGCTGAACATTGCTTTAGATGGAGCAGTTTCCAAACACACTTTCTGTAGAATCTGCAAGTGGATATTTGGACCTCTCTGAGGATTTCGTTGGAAACGGGATAAAATTCCCAAAACTACACGGAAGCATGGCTGAGAAACTTCTTTGTGATGTTTGCATTCAACTCACAGAGTTGAACCTTGCTTTCATAGTTCAGCTTTCAAACACTCTTTTTGTAGAATCTGCAAGTGGATATTTGGACCACTTTGTGGCCTTCCTTCGAAACGGGTATATCTTCACATCAAACCTAGACAGAAGCATTCTCAGAATGTTTCCTGTGATGACTGCATTCAACTCACAGAGGTGAACAATCCTGCTGTTGGAGCAGTTTTGAAACTCTCTTTCTTTGGATTCTGCAAGTTGATATGTGGACCTCTGTGAAGATTTCGTTGGAAACGGGTTCATCTTCACAGAAAAACTAAACAGAAGCATTCTCAGAAACTGCTTTGTGATGTTTTTGTTCCACTTCAGGAATTGAACTTTCCTCTTGACAGAGCAGCTCTGAAAACCTCTTATTCTAGAATCTGCAAGTGGACATTTGGAGGGCTTTGAGGCCTGTGGTGGAAAAGGAAACTCTTCACATAAAAACTAGATGGAAGCATTCTCAGAAACTACTTTGTGATGATTGCATTCGACTCACAGAGTTGAACATTCCTATAGATAGAGCAGGTTGTAAACAATCTTTTTGTAGAATCTGCGATTGGAGATTTGGACTGCTTTGAGGCCTACTGTAGTAAAGGAAATAACTTCATCTAAAAACCAAACGGAAGCATTCACAGACAATTCTTAGTGATCATTGGATTGAACTAACAGAGCTGAACATTCCTTTAGATGGAGCAGTTTCCAAACCCACTTTCTGTAGGATCTGCAAGTGGATATTTGGACTTCTCTGAGGATTTCTTTGGAAACGGGATAAACTTCCCAGAACTACACGGAAGCATTGTGAGAAACTTCTTTGTGATGTTTGCATTCAACTCACAGAGTTGAACCTTGCTTTCATAGTTCAGCTTTCAAACACTCTTTTTGTAGAATCTGCAAGTGGATATTTGGACCACTTTGTGGCCTTCCTTTGAAAAGGGTATATCTTCACATCAAACCTAGACAGAAGCATTCTCAGAATGTTTCCTGTGATGACTGCATTCAACTCACAGAGGTGAACAATCCTGCTGATGGAGGAGTTTTGAAACTCTCTTTCTTTGGATTCTGCAAGTGGATATGTGGACCTCTGTGAAGATTTCGTTGGAAACGGGTTCATCTTCACAGAAAAACTAAACAGAAGCATTCTCAGAAACTGCTTTGTGATGTTTGTGTTCCACTTCAAGAATTGAACTTTCCTCTTGACAGAGCAGCTCTGAAACCCTCTTTTTCTAGAATCTGCAAGTGGACATTTGGAGGGCTTTGAGGCCTGTGGTGGAAAAGGAAAATCTTCACATAAAAACTAGATGGAAGCATTCTCAGAAACTACTTTGTGATGATTGCATTCGACTCACAGAGTTGAACATTCCTATAGATAGAGCAGGTTGTAAACAATCTTTTTGTAGAATCTGCGATTGGAGATTTGGACTGCTTTGAGGCCTACTGTAGTAAAGGAAATAACTTCATCTAAAAACCAAACGGAAGCATTCACAGACAATTCTTAGTGATCATTGGATTGAACTAACAGAGCTGAACATTCCCTTAGATGGCGCAGTTTCCAAACACACTTTCTGTAGAATCTGCAAGTGGATATTTGGACCTCTCTGAGGATTTCGTTGGAAACGGGATAAACTTCCCAGAACTACACGGAGCATTGTGAGAAACTTCTTTGTGATGTTTGCATTCAACTCACAGAGTTGAACCTTGCTTTCATAGTTCAGCTTTCAAACACTCTTTTTGTAGAATCTGCAAGTGGATATTTGGACCACTTTGTGGCCTTCCTTCGAAACGGGTATATCTTCACATCAAACCTAGACAGAAGCATTCTCAGAATGTTTCCTGTGATGACTGCATTCAACTCACAGAGGTGAACAATCCTGTTGATGGAGCAGTTTTGAAACTCTCTTTCTTTGGATTCTGCAAGTGGATATGTGGACCTCTGTGAAGATTTCGTTGGAAACGGGTTCATCTTCACAGAAAAACGAAACAGAAGCATTCTCAGAAACTGCTTTGTGATGTTTGTGTTCCACTTCAGGAATTGAACTTTCCTCTTGACAGAGCAGCTCTAAAACCCTCTTATTCTAGAATCTGCAAGTGGACATTTGGAGGGCTTTGAGGCCTGTGGTGGAAAAGGAAAATCTTCACATAAAAACTAGATGGAAGCATTCTCAGAAACTACTTTGTGATGATTGCATTCGACTCACAGAGTTGAACATTCCTATAGGTAGAGCAGGTTGTAAACAATCTTTTTGTAGAATCTGCGATTGGAGATTTGGACTGCTTTGAGGCCTACTGTAGTAAAGGAAATAACTTCATCTAAAAACCAAACGGAAGCATTCACAGACAATTCTTAGTGATCATTGGATTGAACTAACAGAGCTGAACATTCCTTTAGATGGAGCAGCTTCCAAACACACTTTCTGTAGAATCTGCAAGTGGATATTTGGACTTCTCTGAGGATTTCGTTGGAAACGGGATAAACTTCTCAGAACTACAGGGAAGCATTGTGAGAAACTTCTTTGTGATGTTTGCATTCAACTCACAGAGTTGAACGTTGCTTTCATAGTTCAGCTTTCAAACACTCTTTTTGTAGAATCTGCAAGTGGATATTTGGACCACTTTGTGGCCTTCCTTCGAAACGGGTATATCTTCACATCAAACCTAGACAGAAGCATTCTCAGAATGTTTCCTGTGATGACTGCATTCAACTCACAGAGGTGAACAATCCTGCTGATGGAGCAGTTTTGAAACTCTCTTTCTTTGGATTCTGCAAGTGGATATGTGGACCTCTGTGAAGATTTCGTTGGAAACGGGTTCATCTTCACAGAAAAACTAAACAGGAGCATTCTCAGAAACTGCTTTGTGATGTTTGTGTTCCACTTCAGGAATTGAACTTTCCTCTTGACAGAGCAGCTCTGAAACCCTCTTATTCTAGAATCTGCAAGTGGACATTTGGAGGGCTTTGAGGCCTGTGGTGGAAAAGGAAAATCTTCACATAAAAACTAGATGGAAGCATTCTCAGAAACTACTTTGTGATGACTGCATTCGACTCACAGAGTTGAACATTCCTATAGATAGAGCAGGTTGTAAACAATCATTTTGTAGAATCTGCGATTGGAGATTTGGACTGCTTTGAGGCCTACTGTAGTAAAGGAAATAACTTCATCTAAAAACCAAACGGAAGCATTCACAGACAATTCTTAGTGATCATTGGATTGAACTAACAGAGCTGAACATTCCTTTAGATGGAGCAGTTTCCAAACACACTTTCTGTAGAATCTGCAAGTGGATATTTTGGACCTCTCTGAGGATTTCGTTGGAAACGGGCTAAACTTCCCAGAACTACACGGAAGCATTCTGAGAAACTTCTTTGTGATGTTTGCTTTCAACTCAGAGAGTTGAACCTTGCTTTCATAGTTCAGCTTTCAAACCCTCTTTTTGTAGAATCTGCAAGTGGATATTTGGACCACTTTGTGGCCTTCCTTCGAAACGGGTATATCTTCACATCAAATCTAGACAGAAGCATTCTCAGAATGTTTCCTGTGATGACTGCATTCAACTCACAGAGGTGAACAATCCTGCTGATGGAGCAGTTTTGAAACTCTCTTTCTTTGGATTCTGCAAGTGGATATGTGGACCTCTGTGAAGATTTCGTTGGAAACGGGTTCATCTTCACAGAAAAACTAAACAGAAGGATTCTCAGAAACTGCTTTGTGATGTTTGTGTTCCACTTCAAGAATTGAACTTTCCTCTTTACAGAGCAGCTCTGAAACCCTCTTTTTCTAGAATCTGCAAGTGGACATTTGGAGGGCTTTGAGGCCTGTGGTGGAAAAGGAAAATCTTCACATAAAAACTAGATGGAAGCATTCTCAGAAACTACTTTGTGATGATTGCATTCGACTCACAGAGTTGAACATTCCTATAGATAGAGCAGGTTGTAAACAATCTTTTTGTAGAATCTGCGATTGGAGATTTGGACTGCTTTGAGGCCTACTGTAGTAAAGGAAATAACTTCATCTAAAAACCAAACGGAAGCATTCACAGACAATTCTTAGTGATCATTGGATTGAACTAACAGTGCTGAACATTCCTTTAGATGGCGCAGTTTCCAAACACACTTTCTGTAGAATCTGCAAGTGGATATTTGGACTTCTCTGAGGATTTCGTTGGAAACGGGATAAACTTCCCAGAACTACACGGAAGCATTCTGAGAAACTTCTTTGTGATGTTTGCATTCAACTCACAGAGTTGAACCTTGCTTTCATAGTTCAGCTTTCAAACACTCTTTTTGTAGAATCTGCAAGTGGATATTTGGACCACTTTGTGGCCTTCCTTCGAAACGGGTATATCTTCACATCAAACCTAGACAGAAGCATTCTCAGAATGTTTCCTGTGATGACTGCATTCAACTCACAGAGGTGAACAATCCTGCTGTTGGAGCAGTTTTGAAACTCTCTTTCTTTGGATTCTGCAAGTGGATATGTGGACCTCTGTGAAGATTTCATTGGAAACGGGTTCATCTTCACAGAAAAACTAAACAGGAGCATTCTCAGAAACTGCTTTGTGATGTTTGTGTTCCACTTCAGGAATTGAACTTTCCTCTTGATAGAGCAGCTCTGAAACCCTCTTTTTCTAGAATCTGCAAGTGGACATTTGGAGGGCTTTGAGGCCTGTGGTGGAAAAGGAATATCTTCACATCAAAACTAGATGGAAGCATTCTCAGAAACTACTTTGTGATGATTGCATTCGACTCACAGAGTTGAACATTCCTATAGATAGAGCAGGTTGTAAACAATCTTTTTGTAGAATCTGCGATTGGAGATTTGGACTGCTTTGAGGCCTACTGTAGTAAAGGAAATAACTTCATCTAAAAACCAAACGGAAGCATTCACAGACAATTCTTAGTGATCATTGGATTGAACTAACAGAGCTGAACATTCCTTTAGATGGAGCAGTTTCCAAACCCACTTTCTGTAGAATCTGCAAGTGGATATTTTGACTTCTCTGAGGATTTCGTTGGAAACGGGATAAACTTCCCAGAACTACACGGAAGCATTGTGAGAAACTTCTTTGTGATGTTTGCATTCAACTCACAGAGTTGAACCTTGCTTTCATAGTTCAGCTTTCAAACACTCTTTTTGTAGAATCTGCAAGTGGATATTTGGACCACTTTGTGGCCTTCCTTCGAAACGGGTATATCTTCACATCAAACCTAGACAGAAGCATTCTCAGAATGTTTCCTGTGATGACTGCATTCAACTCACAGAGGTGAACAATCCTGCTGATGGAGCAGTTTTGAAACTCTCTTTCTTTGGATTCTGCAAGTGGATATGTGGACCTCTGTGAAGATTTCGTTGGAAACGGGTTCATCTTCACAGAAAAACTAAACAGAAGCATTCTCAGAAACTGCTTTGTGATGTTTGTGTTCCACTTCAGGAATTGAACTTTCCTCTTGACAGAGCAGCTCTAAAACCCTCTTATTCTAGAATCTGCAAGTGGACATTTGGAGGGCTTTGAGGCCTGTGGTGGAAAAGGAAAATCTTCACATAAAAACTAGATGGAAGCATTCTCAGAAACTACTTTGTGATGATTGCATTCGACTCACAGAGTTGAACATTCCTATAGATAGAGCAGGTTGTAAACAATCTTTTTGTAGAATCTGCGATTGGAGATTTGGACTGCTTTGAGGCCTACTGTAGTAAAGGAAATAACTTCATCTAAAAACCAAACGGAAGCATTCACAGACAATTCTTAGTGATCATTGGATTGAACTAACAGAGCTGAACATTCCTTTAGATGGAGCAGTTTCCAAACCCACTTTCTGAAGAATCTGCAAGTGGATATTTGGACTTCTCTGAGGATTTCGTTGGAAACGGGATAAACTTCCCAGAACTACACGGAAGCATTGTGAGAAACTTCTTTGTGATGTTTGCATTCAACTCACAGAGTTGAACCTTGCTTTCATAGTTCAGCTTTCAAACACTCTTTTTGTAGAATCTGCAAGTGGATATTTGGACCACTTTGTGGCCTTCCTTCGAAACGGGTATATCTTCACATCAAACCTAGACAGAAGCATTCTCAGAATGTTTCCTGTGATGACTGCATTCAACTCACAAAGGTGAACAATCCTGCTGATGGAGCAGTTTTGAAACTCTCTTTCTTTGGATTCTGCAAGTGGATATGTGGACCTCTGTGAAGATTTCGTTGGAAACGGGTTCATCTTCACAGAAAAACTAAACAGGAGCATTCTCAGAAACTGCTTTGTGATGTTTGTGTTCCACTTCAAGAATTGAACTTTCCTCTTGACAGAGCAGCTCTGAAACCCTCTTATTCTAGAATCTGCAAGTGGACATTTGGAGGGATTTGAGGCCTGTGGTGGAAAAGGAAAATCTTCACATAAAAACTAGATGGAAGCATTCTCAGAAACTACTTTGTGATGATGGCATTCGACTCACAGAGTTGAACATTCCTATAGATAGAGCAGGTTGTAAACAATCTTTTTGTAGAATCTGCGATTGGAGATTTGGACTGCTTTGAGGCCTACTGTAGTAAAGGAAATAACTTCATCTAAAAACCAAACGGAAGCATTCACAGACAATTCTTAGTGATCATTGGATTGAACTAACAGAGCTGAACATTCCTTTAGATGGAGCAGTTTCCAAACCCACTTTATGTAGAATCTGCAAGTGGATATTTGGACTTCTCTGAGGATTTCGTTGGAAACGGGATATGCTTCCCAGAACTACAGGGAAGCATTCTGAGAAACTTCTTTGGATGTTTGCATTCAACTCACAGAGTTGAACCTTGCTTTCATAGTTCAGCTTTCAAACACTCTTTTTGTAGAATCTGCAAGTGGATATTTGGACCACTTTGTGGCCTTCCTTCGAAACGGGTATATCTTCACATCAAACCTAGACAGAAGCATTCTCAGAATGTTTCCTGTGATGACTGCATTCAACTCACAGAGGTGAACAATCCTGTTGATGGAGCACTTTTGAAACTCTCTTTCTTTGGATTCTGCAAGTTGATATGTGGACCTCTGTGAAGATTTCGTTGGAAACGGGTTCATCTTCAGAGAAAAACTAAACAGAAGCATTCTCAGAAACTGCTTTGTGATTTTTGTGTTCCACTTCAGGAATTGAACTTTCCTCTTGACAGAGCAGCTCTGAAACCCTCTTATTCTAGAATCTGCAAGTGGACATTTGGAGGGCTTTGAGGCCAGTGGTGGAAAAGGAAAATCTTCACATAAAAACTAGATGGAAGCATTCTCAGAAACTACTTTGTGATGATTGCATTCGACTCACAGAGTTGAACATTCGTATAGATAGAGCAGGTTGTAAACAATCTTTTTGTAGAATCTGCGATTGGAGATTTGGACTGCTTTGAGGCCTACTGTAGTAAAGGAAATAACTTCATCTAAAAACCAAACGGAAGCATTCACAGACAATTCTTAGTGATCATTGGATTGAACTAACAGAGCTGAACATTCCTTTAGATGGAGCAGTTTCCAAACCCACTTTCTGTAGAATCTGCAAGTGGATATTTGGACTTCTCTGAAGATTTCGTTGTAAACGGGATAAACTTCCCAGAACTACACGGAAGCATTGTGAGAAACTTCTTTGTGATGTTTGCATTCAACTCACAGAGTTGAACCTTGCTTTCATAGTTCAGCTTTCAAACACTCTTTTTGTAGAATCTGCAAGTGGATATTTGGACCACTTTGTGGCCTTCCTTCGAAACGGGTATATCTTCACATCAAACCTAGACAGAAGCATTCTCAGAATGTTTCCTGTGATGACTGCATTCAACTCACAGAGGTGAACAATCCTGTTGATGGAGCAGTTTTGAAACTCCCTTTCTTTGGATTCTGCAAGTGGATATGTGGAACTCTTTGAAGATTTCGTTGGAAACGGGTTCATCTTCACAGAAAAACTAAACAGGAGCATTCTCAGAAACTGCTTTGTGATGTTTGTGTTCCACTTCAGGAATTGAACTTTCCTCTTGACAGAGCAGCTCTGAAACCCTCTTATTCTAGAATCTGCAAGTGGACATTTGGAGGGCTTTGAGGCCTGTGGTGGAAAAGGAAAATCTTCACATAAAAACTAGATGGAAGCATTCTCAGAAACTACTTTGTGATGATTGCATTCGACTCACAGAGTTGAACATTCCTATAGATAGAGCAGGTTGTAAACAATGTTTTTGTAGAATCTGCGATTGGAGATTTGGACTGCTTTGAGGCCTACTGTAGTAAAGGAAATAACTTCATCTAAAAACCAAACGGAAGCATTCACAGACAATTCTTAGTGATCATTGGATTGAGCTAACAGAGCTGAACATTCCTTTAGATGGAGCAGTTTCCAAACACACTTTCTGCAGAATCTGCAAGTGGATATTTGGACTTCTCTGAGGATTTCGTTGGAAACGGGATAAAATTCCCAGAACTACACGGAAGCATTGTGAGAATCATCTTTCTGATGTTTGCATTCAACTCACAGAGTTGAACCTTGCTTTCATAGTTCAGCTTTCAAACACTCTTTTTGTAGAATCTGCAAGTGGATATTTGGACCACTTTGTGGCCTTCCTTTGAAACGGGTACATCTTCACATCAAACCTAGACAGAAGCATTCTCAGAATGTTTCCTGTGATGACTGCATTCAACTCACAGAGGTGAACAATCCTGTTGATGGAGCAGTTTTGAAACTCTCTTTCTTTGGATTCTGCAAGTTGATATGTGGACCTCTGTGAAGATTTCGTTGGAAACGGGTTCATCTTCACAGAAAAACTAAACAGAAGCATTCTCAGAAACTGCTTTGTGATGTTTGTGTTCCACTTCAGGAATTGAACTTTCCTCTTGACAGAGCAGCTCTGAAACCCTCTTTTTCTAGAATCTGCAAGTGGACATTTGGAGGGCTTTGAGGCCTGTGGTGGAAAAGGAAAATCTTCACATAAAAACTAGATGGAAGCATTCTCAGAAACTACTTTGTGATGATTGCATTCGACTCACAGAGTTGAACATTCCTATAGATAGAGCAGGTTGTAAACAATCTTTTTGTAGAATCTGCGATTTGAGATTTGGACTGCTTTGAGGCCTACTGTAGTAAAGGAAATAACTTCATCTAAAAACCAAACGGAAGCATTCACAGAGAATTCTTAGTGATCATTGCATTGAACTAACAGAGCTGAACATTCCTTTAGATGGAGCAGTTTCCAAACACACTTTCTGTAGAATCTGCAAGTGGATATTTGGACCTCTCTGAGGATTTCGTTGGAATCGGGATAAACTTCCCAGAACTACACGGAAGCATTCTGAGAAACTTCTTTGTGATGTTTGCATTCAACTCACAGAGTTGAACCTTACTTTCATAGTTCAGCTTTCAAACACTCTTTTTGTAGAATCTGCAAGTGGATATTTGCACCACTTTGTGGCCTTCCTTTGAAACGGGTATATCTTCACATCAAACCTAGACAGAAGCATTCTCAGAATGTTTCCTGTGATGACTGCATTCAACTCACAGAGGTGAACAATCCTGCTGATGGAGCAGTTTTGAAACTCTCTTTCTTTGGATTCTGCAAGTGGATATGTGGACCTCTGTGAGGATTTCGTTGGAAACGGGTTCATCCTCACAGAAAAACTAAACAGGAGCATTCTCAGAAACTGCTTTGTGATGTTTGTGTTCCACTTCAGGAATTCAACTTTCCTCTTGACAGAGCAGCTCTGAAACCCTCTTATTCTAGAATCTGCAAGTGGACATTTGGAGGGATTTGAGGCCTGTGGTGGAAAAGGAAAATCTTCACATAAAAACTAGATGGAAGCATTCTCAGAACCTACTTTGTGATGATTGCATTCGACTCACAGAGTTGAACATTCCTATAGATAGAGCAGGTTGTAAACAATCTTTTTGTAGAATCTGCGATTGGAAATTTGGACTGCTTTGAGGCCTACTGTAGTAAAGGAAATAACTTCATCTAAAAACCAAACGGAAGCATTCACAGACAATTCTTAGTGATCATTGCATTGAACTAACAGAGCTGAACATTCCTTTAGATGGCGCAGTTTCCAAACACACTTTCTGTAGAATCTGCAAGTGGATATTTGGACTTCTCTGAGGATTTCGTTGGAAACGGGATAAACTTCCCAGAACTACACGGAAGCATTCTGAGAAACTTCTTTGTTATGTTTGCATTCAACTCACAGAGTTGAACCTTGCTTTCATAGTTCAGCTTTCAAACACTCTTTTTGTAGAATCTGCAAGTGGATATTTGGACCACTTTGTTGCCTTCCTTCGAAACGGGTATATCTTCACATCAAACCTAGACAGAAGCATTCTCAGAATGTTTCCTGTGATGACTGCATTCAACTAACAGAGGTGAACAATCCTGCTGATGGAGCAGTTTTGAAACTCTCTTTCTTTGGATTCTGCAAGAGGATATGTGGACCTCTGTGAAGATTTCGTTGGAAACGGGTTTATCTTCACAGAAAACCTAAACAGAAGCATTCTCAGAAACTGCTTTGTGATGTTTGTGTTCCACTTCAAGAATTGAACTTTCCTCTTGACAGAGCAGCTCTGACACCCTCTTTTTCTAGAATCTGCAAGTGGACATTTGGAGGGCTTTGAGGCCTGTGGTGGAAAAGGAAAACCTTCACATAAAAACTAGATGGAAGCATTCTCAGGAACTACTTTGGGATGATTGCATTCGACTCACAGAGTTGAACATTCCTATAGATAGAGCAGGTTGTAAACAATCTGTTTGTAGAATCTGCGATTGGAGATTTGGACTGCTTTGAGGCCTACTGTAGTAAAGGAAATAACTTCATCTAAAAACCAAACGGAAGCATTCACAGACAATTCTTAGTGATCATTGGATTGAACTAACAGAGCTGAACATTCCTTTAGATGGAGCAGTGTCCAAACACACTTTCTGTAGAATCTGCAAGTGGATATTTGGACCTCTATGAGGATTTCGTAGGAAACGGGATAAACTTCCCAGAACTACACGGAAGCATTCTGAGAAACTTCTTTGTGATGTTTGCATTCAACTCACAGAGTTGAACCTTGCTTTCATAGTTCAGCTATCAAACACTCTTTTTGTAGGATCTGCAAGTGGATATTTGGACCACTTTGTGGCCTTCCTTCGAAACGGGTATATCTTCACATCAAACCTAGACAGAAGCATTCTCAGAATGTTTTCCTGTGATGACTGCATTCAACTCACAGAGGTGAACAATCCTGCTGATGGAGCAGTTTTGAAACTCTCTTTCTTTGGATTCTGCAAGTGGATATGTGGACCTCTGTGAAGATTTCGTTGGAAACGGGTTCATCTTCACAGAAAAACTAAACAGGAGCATTCTCAGAAACTACTTTGTGATGTTTGTGTTCCACTTCAAGAATTGAACTTTCCTCTTGACAGAGCAGCTCTGAAACCCTCTTTTTCTAGAATCTGCAAGTGGACATTTGGAGGGCTTTGAGGCCTGTGGTGGAAAAGGAAAATCTTCACATAAAAACTAGATGGAAGCATTCTCAGAAACTACTTTGTGATGATTGCATTCGACTCACAGAGTTGAACATTCCTATAGATAGAGCAGGTTGTAAACAATCTTTTTGTAGAATCTGCGATTGGAGATTTGGATTGCTTTGAGGCCTACTGTAGTAAAGGAAATAACTTCATCTAAAAACCAAACGGAAGCATTCACAGACAATTCTTAGTGATCATTGCATTGAACTAACAGAGCTGAACATTCCTTTAGATGGAGCAGTTTCCAAACACACTTTCTGTAGAATCCGCAAGTGGATATTTGGACCTCTCTGAGGATTTCGTTGGAAACGGGATAAAATTCCCAGAACTACACGGAAGCATTCTGAGAAACTTCTTTGTGATGTTTGCATTCAACTCACAGAGTTGAACCTTGTTTTCATAGTTCAGCTTTCAAACACTCTTTTTGTAGAATCTGCAAGTGGATATTTGGACCACTTTGTGGCCTTCGTTCGAAACGGGTATATACTTCACATCAAACCTAGACAGAAGCATTCTCAGAATGTTTCCTGTGATGACTGCATTCAACTCACAGAGGTGAACAATCCTGCTGATGGAGCAGTTTTGAAACTCTCTTTCTTTGGATTCTGCAAGTGGATATGTGGACCTCTGTGAAGGTTTCGTTGGAAACGGGTTCATCTTCACAGAAAAACTAAACAGAAACATTCTCAGAAACTGCTTTGTGATGTTTGTGTTCCACTTCAGGAAATTGAACTTTCCTCTTGACAGAGCAGCTCTGAAACCCTCTTATTCTAGAATCTGCAAGTGGACATTTGGAGGGCTTTGAGGCCTGTGGTGGAAAAGGAAAATCTTCACATAAAAACTAGATGGAAGCATTCTCAGAAACTACTTTGTGATGATTGCATTCGACTCACAGAGTTGAACATTCCTATAGATAGAGCAGGTTGTAAACAATCTTTTTGTAGAATCTGCGATTGGAGATTTGGACTGCTTTGAGGCCTACTGTAGTAAAGGAAATAACTTCATCTAAAAACCAAACGGAAGCATTCACAGACAATTCTTAGTGATCATTGGATTGAACTAACAGAGCTGAACATTCCTTTAGATGGCGCAGTTTCCAAACACACTTTCTGTAGAATCTGCAAGTGGATATTTGGACCTCTCTGAGGATTTCGTTGGAAACGGGATAAACTTCCCAGAACTACACGGAAGCATTCTGAGAAACTTCTTTGTGATGTTTGCATTCAACTCACAGAGTTGAACCTTGCTTTCATAGTTCAGCTTTCAAACACTCTTTTTGTAGAATCTGCAAGTGGATATTTGGACCACTTTTTGGCCTTCCTTCGAAACGGGTATATCTTCACATCATACCTAGACAGAAGCATTCTCAGAATGTTTCCTGTGATGACTGCATTCAACTCACAGAGGTGAACAATCCTGTTGATGGAGCAGTTTTGAATCTCTCTTTCTTTGGATTCTGCAAGTGGATATGTGGACCTCTGGGAAGATTTCGTTGGAAACGGGTTCATCTTCACAGAAAAACTAAACAGGAGCATTCTCAGAAACTGCTTTGTGATGTTTGTGTTCCACTTCAGGAATTGTACTTTCCTCTTGACAGAGCAGCTCTGAAACCCTCTTATTCTAGAATCTGCAAGTGGACATTTGGAGGGCTTTGAGGCCTGTGGTGGAAAAGGAAAATCTTCACATAAAAACTAGATGGAAGCATTCTCAGAAACTACTTTGTGATGATTGCATTCGACTCACAGAGTTGAACATTCCTATAGATAGAGCAGGTTGTAAACAATCTTTTTGTAGAATCTGCGATTGGAGATTTGGACTGCTTTGAGGCCTACTGTAGTAAAGGAAATAACTTCATCTAAAAACCAAACGGAAGCATTCACAGACAATTCTTAGTGATCATTGGATTGAACTAACAGAGCTGAACATTCCTTTAGATGGCGCAGTTTCCAAACACACTTTCTGTAGAATCTGCAAGTGGATATTTGGACTTCTCTGAGGATTTCGTTGGAAAAGGGATAAACTTCCCAGAACTACACGGAAGCATTGTGAGAAACTTCTTTGTGATGTTTGCATTCAACACACAGAGTTGAACCTTGCTTTCATAGTTCAGCTTTCAAACACTCCTTTTGTAGAATCTGCAAGTGGATATTTGGACCACTTTGTGGCCTTCCTTCGAAACGGGTATATCTTCACATCAAACCTAGACAGAAGCATTCTCAGAATGTTTCCTGTGATGACTGCATTCAACTCACAGAGGTGAACAATCCTGCTGATGGAGCAGTTTTGAAACTCTCTTTCTTTGGATTCTGCAAGTGGATATGTGGACCTCTGTGAAGATTTCGTTGGAAACGGGTTCATCTTCACAGAAAAACTAAACAGAAGCATTCTCAGAAACTGCTTTGTGATGTTTGTGTTCCACTTCAGGAATTGAACTTTCCTCTTGACAGAGCAGCTCTGAAACCCTCTTATTCTAGAATCTGCAAGTGGACATTTGAAGGGCTTTGAGGCCTGTGGTGGAAAAGGAAAATTCTTCACATAAAAACTAGATGGAAGCATTCTCAGAAACTACTTTGTGATGATTGCATTCGACTCACAGAGTTGAACATTCCTATAGATAGAGCATGTTGTAAACAATCTTTTTGTAGAATCTGCGATTGGAGATTTGGACTGCTTTGAGGCCTACTGTAGTAAAGGAAATAACTTCATCTAAAAACCAAACGGAAGCATTCACAGACAATTCTTAGTGATTATTGGATTGAACTAACAGAGCTGAACATTCCTTTAGATGGCGCAGTTTCCAAACACACTTTCTGTAGAATCTGCAAGTGGATATTTGGACCTCTCTGAGGATTTCGTTGGAAACGGGATAAACTTCCCAGAACTACACGGAAGCATTCTGAGAAACTTCTTTGTGATGTTTGCATTCAACTCACAGAGTTGAACCTTGCTTTCATAGTTCAGCTTTCAAACACTCTTTTTGTAGAATCTGCAAGTGGATATTTGGACCACTTTGTGGCCTTCCTTCGAAACGGGTATATCTTCACATCAAACCTAGACAGAAGCATTCTCAGAATGTTTCCTGTGATGACTGCATTCAACTCACAGAGGTGAACAATCCTGTTGATGGAGCAGTTTTGAAACTCTCTTTCTTTGGATTCTGCAAGTGGATATGTGGACCTCTGTGAAGAATTTCGTTGGAAACGGGTTCATCTTCACAGAAAAACTAAACAGAAGCATTCTCAGAAACTGCTTTGTGATGTTTGTGTTCCACTTCAAGAATTGAACTTTCCTCTTGACAGAGCAGCTCTGAAACCCTCTTTTTCTAGAATCTGCAAGTGGACATTTGGAGGGCTTTGAGGCCTGTGGTGGAAAAGGAAAATCTTCACATAAAAACTAGATGGAAGCATTCTCAGAAACTACTTTGTGATGATGGCTTTCGACTCACAGAGTTGAACATTCCTATAGATAGAGCAGGTTGTAAACAATCTTTTTGTAGAATCTGCGATTGGAGATTTGGACTGCTTTGAGGCCTACTGTAGTAAAGGAAATAACTTCATCTAAAAACCAAACGGAAGCATTCACAGACAATTCTTAGTGATCATTGCATTGAACTAACAGAGCTGAACATTGCTTTAGACGGCGCAGTTTCCAAACACACTTTCTGTAGAATCTGCAAGTGGATATTTGGACTTCTCTGAGGATTTCGTTGGAAACGGGATAAACTTACCAGAACTACACGGAAGCATTGTGAGAAACTTCTTTGTGATGTTTGCATTCAACTCACAGAGTTGAACCTTGTTTTCATAGTTCAGCTTTCAAACACTCTTTTTGTAGAATCTGCAAGTGTATATTTGGACCACTTTGTGGCCTTCCTTCGAAACGGGTATATCTTCACATCAAACCTAGACAGAAGCATTCTCAGAATGTTTCCTGTGATGACTGCATTCAACTCACAGAGGTGAACAATCCTGTTGATGGAGCAGTTTTGAAACTCTCTTTCTTTGGATTCTGCAAGTGGATATGTGGACCTCTGTGAAGATTTCGTTGGAAACGGGTTCATCTTCACAGAAAAAATAAACAGAAGCATTCTCAGAAACTGCTTTGTGATGTTTGTGTTCCACTTCAAGAATTGAACTTTCCTCTTGACAGAGCAGCTCTGAAACCCTCTTTTTCTAGTATCTGCAAGTGGACATTTGGAGGGCTTTGAGGCCTGTGGTGGAAAAGGAAAATCTTCACATAAAAACTAGATGGAAGCATTCTCAGAAACTACTTTGTGATGATTGCATTCGACTCACAGAGTTGAACATTCCTATAGATAGAGCAGGTTGTAAACAATCTTTTTGTAGAATCTGCGATTGGAGATTTGGACTGCTTTGAGGTCTACTGTAGTAAAGGAAATAACTTCATCTAAAAACCAAACGGAAAGCATTCACAGACAATTCTTAGTGATCATTGCATTGAACTAACAGAGTTGAACATTGCTTTAGATGGCGCAGTTTCCAAACCCACTTTCTGTAGAATCTGCAAGTGGATATTTGGACCTCTCTGAGGATTTCGTTGGAAACGGGATAAACTTCCCAGAACTACACGGAAGCATTCTGAGAATCTTCTTTGTGATGTTTGCATTCAACTCACAGAGTTGAACCTTGCTTTCATAGTTCAGCTTTCAAACACTCTTTTTGTAGAATCTGCAAGTGGATATTTGGACCACTTTGTGGCCTTCCTTCGAAACGGGTATATCTTCACATCAAACCTAGACAGAAGCATTCTCAGAATGTTTCCTGTGATGACTGCATTCAACTCACAGAGGTGAACAATCCTGTTGATGGAGCAGTTTTGTAACTCTCTTTCTTTGGATTCTGCAAGTTGATATGTGGACCTCTGTGAAGATTTCGTTGGAAACGGGTTCATCTTCACAGAAAAACTAAACAGAAGCATTCTCAGAAACTGCTTTGTGATGTTTGTGTTCCACTTCAAGAATTGAACTTTCCTCTTGACAGAGCAGCTCTGAAACCCTCTTTTTCTAGAATCTGCAAGTGGACATTTGGAGGGCTTTGAGGCCTGTGGTGGAAAAGGAAAATCTTCACATAAAAACTAGATGGAAGCATTCTCAGAAACTACTTTGTGATGATTGCATTCGACTCACAGAGTTGAACATTCCTATAGATAGAGCAGGTTGTAAACAATCTTTTTGTAGAATCTGCGATTGGAGATTTGGACTGCTTTGAGGCCTACTGTAGTAAAGGAAATAACTTCATCTAAAAACCAAACGGAAGCATTCACAGAGAATTCTTAGTGATCATTGCATTGAACTAACAGAGCTGAACATTACTTTAGATGGCGCAGTTTCCAAACACACTTTCTGTAGAATCTGAAAGTGGATATTTGGACCTCTCTGAGGATTTCGTTGGAAACGGGATAAACTTCCCAGAACTACACGGAAGCATTGTGAGAAACTTCTTTGTGATGTTTGCATTCAACTCACAGAGTTGAACCTTGCTTTCATAGTTCAGCTTTCAAACACTCTTTTTGTAGAATCTGCAAGTGGATATTTGGACCACTTTGTGGCCTTCCTTCGAAACGGGTATATCTTCACATCAAACCTAGACAGAAGCATTCTCAGAATGTTTCCTGTGATGACTGCATTCAACTCACAGAGGTGAACAATCCTGCTGATGGAGCAGTTTTGAAACTCTCTTTCTTTGGATTCTGCAAGTGGATATGTGGACCTCTGTGAAGATTTCGTTGGAAACGGGTTCATCTTCACAGAAAAACTAAACAGAAGCATTCTCAGAAACTGCTTTGTGATGTTTGTGTTCCACTTCAAGAATTGAACTTTCCTCTTGACAGAGCAGCTCTGAAACCCTCTTTTTCTAGAATCTGCAAGTGGACATTTGGAGGGCTTTGAGGCCTGTGGTGGAAAAGGAAAATCTTTACATAAAAACTAGATGGAAGCATTCTCAGAAACTACTTTGTGATGATTGCATTCGACTCACAGAGTTGAACATTCCTATAGATAGAGCAGGTTGTAAACAATCTTTTTGTAGAATCTGCGATTGGAGATTTGGACTGCTTTGAGGCCTACTGTAGTAAAGGAAATAACTTCATCTAAAAACCAAAATGGAAGCATTCACAGACAATTCTTAGTGATCATGGGATTGAACTAACAGAGCTGAACATTCCTTTAGATGGAGCAGTTTCCAAACACACTTTCTGTAGAATCTGCAAGTGGATATTTGGACTTCTCTGAGGATTTCGTTGGAAACGGGATAAACTTCCCAGAACTACACGGAAGCATTGTGAGAAACTTCTTTGTGATGTTTGCATTCAACTCACAGAGTTGAACCTTGCTTTCATAGTTCAGCTTTCAAACACTCTTTTTGTAGAATCTGCAAGTGGATATTTGGACCACTTTTTGGCCTTCCTTCGAAACGGGTATATCTTCACATCAAACCTAGACAGAAGCATTCTCAGAATGTTTCCTGTGATGACTGCATTCAACTCACAGAGGTGAACAATCCTGCTGATGGAGCAGTTTTGAAACTCTCTTTCTTTGGATTCTGCAAGTGGATATGTGGACCTCTGTGAAGATTTCGTTGGAAACGGGTTCATCTTCACAGAAAAACTAAACAGAAGCATTCTCAGAAACTGCTTTGTGATGTTTGTGTTCCACTTCAAGAATTGAACTTTCCTCTTGACAGAGCAGCTCTGAAACCCTCTTTTTCTAGAATCTGCAAGCGGACATTTGGAGGGCTTTGAGGCCTGTGGTGGAAAAGGAAACTCTTCACATAAAAACTAGATGGAAGCATTCTCAGAAACTACTTTGTGATGATTGAATTCGACTCACAGAGTTGAACATTCCTATAGATAGAGCAGGTTGTAAACAATCTTTTTGTAGAATCTGCGATTGGAGATTTGGACTGCTTTGAGGCCTACTGTAGTAAAGGAAATTACTTCATCTAAAAACCAAACGGAAGCATTCACAGACAATTCTTAGTGATCATTGCATTGAACTAACAGAGCTGAACATTGCTTTAGATGGCGCAGTTTCCAAACCCACTTTCTGTAGAATCTGCAAGTGGATATTTGGACCTCTCTGAGGATTTCGTTGGAAACGGGATAAACTTCCCAGAACTACACGGAAGCATTGTGAGAAACTTCTTTCTGATGTTTGCATTCAACTCACAGAGTTGAACCTTGCTTTCATAGTTCAGCTTTCAAACACTCTTTTTGTAGGATCTGCAAGTGGATATTTGGACCACTTTGTGGCCTTCCTTCGAAACGGGTATATCTTCACATCAAACCTAGACAGAAGCATTCTCAGAATGTTTCCTGTGATGACTGCATTCAACACACAGAGGTGAACAATCCTTCTGATGGAGCAGTTTTGAAACTCTCTTTCTTTGGATTCTGCAAGTGGATATGTGGACCTCTGTGAAGATTTCGTTGGAAACGGGTTCATCTTCACAGAAAAACTAAACAGGAGCATTCTCAGAAACTGCTTTGTGATGTTTGTGTTCCACTTCAAGAATTGAACTTTCCTCTTGACAGAGCAGCTCTGAAACCCTCTTTTTCTAGAATCTGCAAGTGGACATTTGTAGGGCTTTGAGGCCTGTGGTGGAAAAGGAAAATCTTCACATAAAAACTAGATGGAAGCATTCTCAGAAACTACTTTGTGATGATTGCATTCGACTCACAGAGTTGAACATTCCTATAGATAGAGCAGGTTGTAAACAATCTTTTTGTAGAATCTGCGATTGGAGATTTGGACTGCTTTGAGGCCTACTGTAGTAGAGGAAATAACTTCATCTAAAAACCAAACGGAAACATTCACAGACAATTCTTAGTGATCACTGGATTGAACTAACAGAGCTGAACATTCCTTTAGATGGAGCAGTTTCCAAACACACTTTCTGTAGAATCTGCAAGTGGATATTTGGACTTCTCTGAAGATTTCGTTGGAAACGGGATAAAATTCCCAGAACTACACGGAAGCATTCTGAGAAACTTCTTTGTGATGTTTGCATTCAACTCACAGAGTTGAACCTTGCTTTCATAGTTCAGCTTTCAAACACTCTTTTTGTAGAATCTGCAAGTGGATATTTGGACCACTTTGTGGCCTTCCTTCGAAACGGGTATATCTTCACATCAAACCTAGACAGAAGCATTCTCAGAATGTTTCCTGTGATGACTGCATTCAACTCACAGAGGTGAACAATCCTGCTGATGGAGCAGTTTTGAAACTCTCTTTCTTTGGATTCTGCAAGTGGATATGTGGACCTCTGTGAAGATTTCGTTGGAAACGGGTTCATCTTCACAGAAAAACTAAACAGAAGCATTCTCAGAAACTGCTTTGTGATGTTTGTGTTCCACTTCAAGAATTGAACTTTCCTCTTGACAGAGCAGCTCTGAAACCCTCTTTTTCTAGAATCTGCAAGTGGCCATTTGGAGGGCTTTGAGGCCTGTGGTGGAAAAGGAAAATCTTCACATAAAACTAGATGGAAGCATTCTCAGAAACTACTTTGTGATGATTGCATTCGACTCACAGAGTTGAACATTCCTATAGATAGAGCAGGATGTAAACAAACTTTTTGTAGAATCTGCGATTGGAGATTTGGACTGCTTTGAGGCCTACTGTAGTAAAGGAAATAACTTCATCTAAAAACCAAACGGAAGCATTCACAGACAATTCTTAGTGATCATTGGATTGAACTAACAGAGCTGAACATTCCTTTAGATGGAGCAGTTTCCAAACCCACTTTCTGTAGAATCTGCAAGTGGATATTTGGACTTCTCTGAGGATTTCGTTGGAAACGGGATAAACTTCCCAGAACTACACGGAAGCATTGTGAGAAACTTCTTTGTGATGTTGGCATTCAACTCACAGAGTTGAACCTTGCTTTCATTGTTCAGCTTTCAAACACTCTTTTTGTAGAATCTGCAAGTGGATATTTGGACCACTTTGTGGCCTTCCTTCGAAACGGGTATATCTTCACATCAAACCTAGACAGAAGCATTCTCAGAATGTCTCCTGTGATGACTGCATTCAACTCACAGAGGTGAACAATCCTGCTAATGGAGCAGTTTTGAAACTCTCTTTCTTTGGATTCTGCAAGTGGATATGTGGACCTCTGTGAAGATTTCGTTGGAAACGGGTTCATCTTCACAGAAAAACTAAACAGGAGCATTCTCAGAAACTGCTTTGTGATGTTTGTGTTCCACTTCAAGAATTGAACTTTCCTCTTGACAGAGCAGCTCTGAAACCCTCTTATTCTAGAATCTGCAAGTGGACATTTGGAGGGCTTTGAGGCCTGTGGTGGAAAAGGAAAATCTTCACATAAAAACTAGATGGAAGCATTCTCAGAAACTACTTTGTGATGATTGCATTCGACTCACAGAGTTGAACATTCCTATAGATAGAGCAGGTTGTAAACAATCTTTTTGTAGAATCTGCGATTGGAGATTTGGACTGCTTTGAGGCCTACTGTAGTAAAGGAAATAACTTCATCTAAACACCAAACGGAAGCATTCACAGACAATTCTTAGTGATCATTGGATTGAACTAACAGAGCTGAACATTCCTTTAGATGGAGCAGTTTCCAAACCCACTTTCTGTAGAATCTGCAAGTGGATATTTGGACTTCTCTGAGGATTTCGTTGGAAACGGGATAAACTTCCCAGAACTACACGGAAGTATTCTGAGAAACTTCTTTGTGATGTTTGCATTCAACTCACAGAGTTGAACCTTGCTTTCATAGTTCAGCTTTCAAACACTCTTTTTGTAGAATCTGCAAGTGGATATTTGGACCACTTTGTGGCCTTCCTTCGAAACGGGTATATCTTCACATCAAACCTAGACAGAAGCATTCTCAGAATGTTTCCTGTGATGACTGCATTCAACTCACAGAGGTGAACAATCCTGTTGATGGAGCAGTTTTGAAACTTTCTTTGGATTCTGCAAGTGGATATGTGGACCTCTGTGAAGATTTCGTTGGAAACGGGTTCATCTTCACAGAAAAACTAAACAGAAGCATTCTCAGAAACTGCTTTGTGATGTTTGTGTTCCACTTCAGGAATTGAACTTTCCTCTTGACAGAGCAGCTCTGAAACCCTCTTATTCTAGAATCTGCAAGTGGACATTTGGAGGGCTTTGAGGCCTGTGGTGGAAAAGGAAAATCTTCACATAAAAACTAGATGGAAGCATTCTCAGAAACTACTTTGTGATGATTGCATTCGACTCACAGAGTTGAACATTCCTATACATAGAGCAGGTTGTAAACAATCTTTTTGTAGAATCTGCGATTGGAGATTTGGACTGCTTTGAGGCCTACTGTAGTAAAGGAAATAACTTCATCTAAAAACCAAACGGAAGCATTCACAGACAATCCTTAGTGATCATTGCATTGAACTAACAGAGCTGAACATTCCTTTAGATGGCGCAGTTTCCAAACACACTTTCTGTAGAATCTGCAAGTGGATATTTGGACCTCTCTGAGGATTTCGTTGGAAACGGGATAAACTTCCCAGAACTACACGGAAGCATTCTGAGAAACTTCTTTGTGATGTTTGCATTCAACTCACAGAGTTGAACCTTGCTTTCATAGTTCAGCTTTCAAACACTCTTTTTGTAGAATCCGCAAGTGGATATTTGGACCACTTTGTGTCCTTCCTTCGAAACGGGTATATCTTCACATCAAAGTTAGACAGAAGCATTCTCAGAATGTTTCCTGTGATGACTGCATTCAACTCACAGAGGTGAACAATCCTGTTGATGGAGCAGTTTTAAAACTCTCTTTCTTTGGATTCTGCAAGTTGATATGTGGAACTCTGTGAAGATTTCGTTGGAAACGGGTTCATCTTCACAGAAAAACTAAACAGAAGCATTCTCAGAAACTGCTTTGTGATGTTTGTGTTCCACTTCAAGAATTGAACTTTCCTCTTGACAGAGCAGCTCGGAAACCCTCTTTTTCTAGAATCTGCAAGTGGACATTTGGAGGGCTTTGAGGCCTGTGGTGGAAAAGGAAAATCTTCACATAAAACTAGATGGAAGCATTCTCAGAAACTACTTTGTGATGATTGCATTCGACTCACAGAGTTGAACATTCCTATAGATAGAGCAGGTTGTAAACAATGTTTTTGTAGAATCTGCGATTGGAGATTTGGATTTCTTTGAGGCCTACTGTAGTAAAGGAAATAACTTCATCTAAAAACCAAACGGAAGCATTCACAGACAATTCTTAGTGATCATTGCATTGAACTAACAGAGCTGAACATTCCTTTAGATGGCGCAGTTTCCAAACACACTTTCTGTAGAATCTGCAAGTGGATATTTGGACCTCTCTGAGGATTTCGTTGGAAACGGGATAAACTTCCCAGAACTACACGGAAGCATTCTGAGAGACTTCTCTGTGATGTTTGCATTCAACTCACAGAGTTGAACCTTGCTTTCATAGTTCAGCTTTCAAACACTCTTTTTGTAGAATCTGCAAGTGGATATTTGGACCACTTTGTGGCCTTCCTTCGAAACGGGTATATCTTCACATCAAACCTAGACAGAAGCATTCTCAGAATGTTTCCTGTGATGACTGCATTCAACTCACAGAGGTGAACAATCCTGCTGATGGAGCAGTTTTGAAACTCCCTTTCTTTGGATTCTGCAAGTGGATATGTGGACCTCTGTGAAGATTTCGTTGGAAACGGGTTCATCTTCACAGAAAAACTAAACAGAAGCATTCTCAGAAACTGCTTTGGGATGTTTGTGTTCCACTTCAGGAATTGAACTTTCCTCTTGACAGAGCAGCTCTGAAACCCTCTTTTTCTAGAAGCTGCAGGTGGACATTTGGAGGGCTTTGAGGCCTGTGGTGGAAAAGGAAACTCTTCACATAAAAACTAGATGGAAGCATTCTCAGAAACTACTTTGTGATGATTGCATTCGACTCACAGAGTTGAACATTCCTATAGATAGAGCAGGTTGTAAATAATCTTTTTGTAGAATCTGCGATTGGAGATTTGGACTGCTTTGAGGCCTACTGTAGTAAAGGAAATAACTTCATCTAAAAACCAAACGGAAGCATTCACAGACAATTCTTAGTGATCATTGCATTGAACTAACAGAGCTGAACATTGCTTTAGATGGAGCAGTTTCCAAACACACTTTCTGTAGAATCTGCAAGTGGATATTTGGACCTCTCTGAGGATTTCGTTGGAAACGGGATAAAATTCCCAGAACTACACGGAAGCATTCTGAGAAACTTCTTTGTGATGTTTGCATTCAACTCACAGAGTTGAACCTTGCTTTCATAGTTCAGCTTTCAAACACTCTTTTTGTAGAACCTGCAAGTGGATATTTGGACCACTTTGTGGCCTTCCTTCGAAACGGGTATATCTTCACATCAAACCTAGACAGAAGCATTCTCAGAATGTTTCCTCTGATGACTGCATTCAAGTCACAGAGGCGAACAATCCTGTTGATGGAGCAGTTTTGAAACTCTCTTTCTTTGGATTCTGCAAGTGGATATGTGGACCTCTGTGAAGATTTCGTTGGAAACGGGTTCATCTTCACAGAAAAACTAAACAGAAGCATTCTCAGAAACTGCTTTGTGATGTTTGTGTTCGACTTCAGGAATTGAACTTTCCTCTTGACAGAGCAGCTCTGAAACCCTCTTATTCTAGAATCTGCAAGTGGACATTTGGAGGGCTTTGAGGCCTGTGGTGGAAAAGGAAAATCTTCACATAAAAACTAGATGGAAGCATTCTCAGAAACTACTTTGTGATAATTGCATTCGACTCACAGAGTTGAACATTCCCATAGATAGAGCAGGTTGTAAACAATCTTTTTGTAGAATCTGCGATTGGAGATTTGGACTGCTTTGAGGTCTACTGTAGTAAAGGAAATAACTTCATCTAAAAACCAAACGGAAGCATTCACAGACAATTCTTAGTGATCATTGCATTGAACTAACAGAGCTGAACATTCCTTTAGATGGCGCAGTTTCCAAACACACTTTCTGTAGAATCTGCAAGGGGATATTTGGACCTCTCTGAGGATTTCGTTGGAAACGGGATAAACTTCCCAGAACTACACGGAAGCATTCTGAGAAACTTCTTTGTGATGTTTGCATTCAACTCACAGAGTTGAAACTTGCTTTCATAGTTCAGCTTTCAATCACTCTTTTTGTAGAATCTGCAAGTGGATATTTGGACCACTTTGTGGCCTTCCTTCCAAACGGGTATATCTTCACATCAAACCTAGACAGAAGCATTCTCAGAATGTTTCCTGTGATGACTGCATTCAACTCACAGAGGTAAACAATCCTGTTGATGGAGCAGTTTTGAAACTCTCTTTCTTTGGATTCTGCAGGTGGATATGTGGACCTCTGTGAAGATTTCTTTGGAAACGGGTTCATCTTCACAGAAAAACTAAACAGGAGCATTCTCAGAAACTGCTTTGTGATGTTTGTGTTCCACTTCAGGAATTGAACTTTCCTCTTGACAGAGCAGCTCTGAAATCCTCTTATTCTAGAATCTGCAAGTGGACATTTGGAGGGCTTTGAGGCCTGTGGTGGAAAAGGAAAATCTTCACATAAAAACTAGATGGAAGCATTCTCAGAAACTACTTTGTGATGATTGCATTCGACTCACAGAGTTGAACATTCCTATAGATAGAGCAGGTTTTAAACAATCTTTTTGTAGAATCTGCGATTGGAGATTTGGACTGCATTGAGGCCTACTGTAGTAAAGGAAATAACTTCATCTAAAAACCAAACGGAAGCATTCACAGACAATTCTTAGTGATCATTGCATTGAACTAACAGAGCTGAACATTGCTTTAGATGGTGCAGTTTCCAAACACACTTTCTGTAGAATCTGCAAGTGGATATTTGGACCTCTCTGAGGATTTCGTTGGAAACGGGATAAACTTCCCAGAACTACACGGAAGCATGCTGAGAAACTTCTTTGTGATGTTTGCATTCAACTCACAGAGTTGAACCTTGCTTTCATAGTTCAGCTTTCAAACACTCTTTTTGTAGAATCTGCAAGTGGATATTTAGACCACTTTGTGGCCTTCCTTCGAAACGGGTATATCTTCACATCAAACCTAGACAGGAAGCATTCTCAGAATGTTTCCTGTGATGACTGCATTCAACTCACAGAGGTGAACAATCCTGCTGATGGAGCAGTTTTGAAACTCTCTTTCTTTGGATTCTGCAAGTGGATATGTGGACCTCTGTGAAGATTTCGTTGGAAACGGGTTCATCTTCACAGAAAAACTAAACAGGAGCATTCTCAGAAACTGCTTTGTGATGTTTGTGTTCCACTTCAAGAATTGAACTTTCCTCTTGACAGAGCAGCTCTGAAACCCTCTTTTTCTAGAATCTGCAAGTGGACATTTGGAGGGCATTGAGGCCTGTGTTGGAAAAGGAAAATCTTCACATAAAAACTAGATGGAAGCATTCTCAGAAACTACTTTGTGATGATTGCATTCGACTCACAGAGTTGAACATTCCTATAGATAGAGCAGGTTGTAAACAATCTTTTTGTAGAATCTGCGATTGGAGATTTGGACTGCTTTGAGGCCTACTGTAGTAAAGGAAATAACTTCATCTAAAAACCAAACGGAAGCATTCACAGACAATTCTTAGTGATCATTGCATTGAACTAACAGAGCTGAACATTCCTTTAGATGGCGCAGTTTCCAAACACACTTTCTGTAGAATCTGCAAGTGGATATTTGGACCTCTCTGAGGATTTCGTTGGAAACGGGATAAACTTCCCAGAACTACACGGAAGCATTGTGAGAAACATCTTTGTGATGTTTGCATTCAACTCACAGAGTTGAACCTTGCTTTCATAGTTCAGCTTTCAAACACTCTTTTTGTAGAATCTGCAAGTGGATATTTGGACCACTTTGTGGCCTTCCTTCGAAACGGGTATATCTTCACATCAAACCTAGACAGAAGCATTCTCAGAATGTTTCCTGTGATGACTGCATTCAACTCACAGAGGTGAACAATCCTGCTGATGGAGCAGTTTTGAAACTCTCTTTCTTTGGATTCTGCAAGTGGATATGTGGACCTCTGTGAAGATTTCGTTGGAAACGGGTTCATCTTCACAGAAAAACTAAACAGGAGCATTCTCAGAAACTGCTTTGTGATGTTTGTGTTCCACTTCAAGAATTGAACTTTCCTCTTGACAGAGCAGCTCTGAAACCCTCTTTTTCTAGAACCTGCAAGTGGACATTTGGAGGGCTTTGAGGCCTGTGGTGGAAAAGGAAAATCTTCACATTAAAACTAGATGGAAGCATTCTCAGAAACTACTTTGTGATGATTGCATTCGACTCACAGAGTTGAACATTCCTATAGATAGAGCAGGTTGTAAACAATCTTTTTCAAGAATCTGCGATTGGAGATTTGGACTGCTTTGAGGCCTACTGTAGTAAAGGAAATAACTTCATCTAAAACCAAACGGAAGCATTCACAGACAATTCTTAGTGATCATTGGATTGAACTAACAGAGCTGAACATTCCTTTAGATGGAGCAGTTTCCAAACACACTTTCTGTAGAATCTGCAAGTGGATATTTGGACCTCTCTGAGGATTTCTTTGGAAACGGGATAAACTTCCCAGAACTACACGGAAGCATTCTGAGAAACTTCTTTGTGATGTTTGCATTCAACTCACAGAGTTGAACCTTGCTTTCATAGTTCAGCTTTCAAACACTCTTTTTGTAGAATCTGCAAGTGGATATTTGGACCACTTTGTGGCCTTCCTTCGAAACGGGTATATCTTCACATCAAACCTAGACAGAAGCATTCTCAGAATGTTTCCTGTGATGACTGCATTCAACTCACAGAGGTGAACAATCCTGCTGATGGAGCAGTTTTGAAACTCTCTTTCTTTGGATTCTGCAAGTGGATATGTGGACCTCTGTGAAGATTTCGTTGGAAACGGGTTCATCTTCACAGAAAAACTAAACAGGAGCATTCTCAGAAACTGCTTTGTGATGTTTGTGTTCCACTTCAGGAATTGAACTTTCCTCTTGACAGAGCAGCTCTGAAACCCTCTTATTCTAGAATCTGCAAGTGGACATTTGGAGGGCTTTGAGGCCTGTGGTGGAAAAGGAAAATCTTCACATAAAAACTAGATGGAAGCATTCTCAGAAACTACTTTGTGATGATTGCATTCGACTCACAGAGTTGAACATTCCTATAGATAGAGCAGGTTGTAAACAATCTTTTTGTAGAATCTGCGATTGGAGATTTGGACTGCTTTGAGGCCTACTGTAGTAAAGGAAATAACTTCATCTAAAAACCAAACGGAAGCATTCACAGACAATTCTTAGTGATCATTGCATTGAACTAACAGAGCTGAACATTCCTTTAGATGGCGCAGTTTCCAAACACACTTTCTGTAGAATCTGCAAGTGGATATTTGGACTTCTCTGAGGATTTCGTTGGAAACGGGATAAACTTCCCAGAACTACACGGAAGCATTCTGAGAAACTTCTTTGTGATGTTTGCATTCAACTCACAGAGTTGAACCTTGCTTTCATAGTTCAGCTTTCAAACACTCTTTTTGTAGAATCTGCAAGTGGATATTTGGACCACTTTGTGGCCTTCCTTCGAAACGGGTATATCTTCACATCAAACCTAGACAGAAGCATTCTCAGAATGTTTCCTGTGATGACTGCATTCAACTCACAGAGGTGAACAATCCTGCTGATGGAGCAGTTTTGAAACTCTCTTTCTTTGGATTCTGCAAGTGGATATGTGGACCTCTGTGAAGATTTCGTTGGAAACGGGTTCATCTTCACAGAAAAACTAAACAGAAGCATTCTCAGAAACTGCTTTGTGATGTTTGTGTTCCACTTCAGGAATTGAACTTTCCTCTTCACAGAGCAGCTCTGCAACCCTCTTATTCTAGAATCTGCAAGTGGACATTTGGAGGGCTTTGAGGCCTGAGGTGGAAAAGGAAAATCTTCACATAAAAACTAGATGGAAGCATTCTCAGAAACTACTTTGTGATGATTGCATTCGACTCACAGAGTTGAACATTCCTATAGATAGAGCAGGTTGTAAACAATCTTTTTGTAGAATCTGCGATTGGAGATTTGGACTGCTTTGAGGCCTACTGTAGTAAAGGAAATAACTTCATCTAAAAACCAAACGGAAGCATTCACAGACAATTCTTAGTGATCATTGGATTGAACTAACAGAGCTGAACATTCCTTTAGATGGAGCAGTTTCCAAACCCACTTTCTGTAGAATCTGCAAGTGGATATTTGGACTTCTCTGAGGATTTCGTTGGAAACGGGATAAACTTCCCAGAACTACACGGAAGCATTGTGAGAAACTTCTTTGTGATGTTTGCATTCAACTCACAGAGTTGAACCTTGCTTTCATAGTTCAGCTTTCAAACACTCTTTTTGTAGAATCTGCAAGTGGATATTTGGACCACTTTGTGGCCTTCCTTCGAAACGGGTATATCTTCACATCAAACCTAGACAGAAGCATTCTCAGAATGTTTCCTGTGATGACTGCATTCAACTCACAGAGGTGAACAATCCTGCTGATGGAGCAGTTTTGAAACTCTCTTTCTTTGGATTCTGCAAGTGGATATGTGGACCTCTGTGAAGATTTCGTTGGAAACGGGTTCATCTTCACAGAAAAACTAAACAGGAGCATTCTCAGAAACTGCTTTGTGATGTTTGTGTTCCACTTCAGGAATTGAACTTTCCTCTTGACAGAGCAGCTCTGAAATCCTCTTATTCTAGAATCTGCAAGTGGACATTTGGAGGGCTTTGAGGCCTGTGGTGGAAAAGGAAAATCTTCACATAAAAACTAGATGGAAGCATTCTCAGAAACTACTTTGTGATGATTGCATTCGACTCACAGAGTTCAACATTCCTATAGATAGAGCAGGTTGTAAACAATCTTTTTGTAGAATCTGCGATTGGAGATTTGGACTGCTTTGAGGCCTACTGTAGTAAAGGAAATAACTTCATCTAAAAACCAAACGGAAGCATTCACAGACAATTCTTAGTGATCATTGGATTGAACTAACAGAGCTGAACATTCCTATAGATGGAGCAGTTTCCAAACACACTTTCTGTAGAATCTCCAAGTGGATATTTGGACCTCTCTGAGGATTTCTTTGGAAACGGGATAAACTTCCCAGAACTACACGGAAGTATTCTGAGAAACTTCTTTGTGATGTTTGCATTCAACTCACGGAGTTGAACCTTGCTTTCATAGTTCAGCTTTCAAACACTCTTTTTGTAGAATCTGCAAGTGGATATTTGGACCACTTTGTGGCCTTCCTTCGAAACGGGTATATCTTCACATCAAACCTAGACAGAAGCATTCTCAGAATGTTTCCTGTGATGACTGCATTCAACTCACAGAGGTGAACAATCCTGCTGATGGAGCAGTTTTGAAACTCTCTTTCTTTGGATTCTGCAAGTTGATATGTGGACCTCTGTGAAGATTTCGTTGGAAACGGGTTCATCTTCACAGAAAAACTAAACAGAAGCATTCTCAGAAACTGCTTTGTGATGTTTGTGTTCCACTTCAGGAATTGAACTTTCCTCTTGACAGAGTAGCTCTGAAACACTCTTTTTCTAGAATCTGCAAGTGGACATTTGGAGGGCTTTGAGGCCTGTGGTGGAAAAGGAAAATCTTCACATAAAAACTAGATGGAAGCATTCTCAGAAACTACTTTGTGATGATTGCATTCGACTCACAGAGTTGAACATTCCTATAGATAGAGCAGGTTGTAAACAATCTTTTTGTAGAATCTGCGATTGGAGATTTGGACTGCTTTGAGGCCTACTGTAGTAAAGGAAATAGCTTCATCTAAAAACCAAACGGAAGCATTCACAGAACAATTCTTAGTGATCATTGGATTGAACTAACAGAGCTGAACATTCCTTTAGATGGAGCAGTTTCCAAACACACTTTCTGTAGAATCTGCAAGTGGATATTTGGACTTCTCTGAGGATTTCGTTGGAAACGGGATATGCTTCCCAGAACTACAGGGAAGCATTGTGAGAAACTTCTTTGTGATGTTTGCATTCAACTCACAGAGTTGAACCTTGCTTTCATAGTTCAGCTTTCAAACACTCTTTTTGTAGAATCTGCAAGTGGATATTTGGACCACTTTGTGGCCTTCCTTCGAAACGGGTATATCTTCACATCAAACCTAGACAGAAGCTTTCTCAGAATGTTTCCTGTGATGACTGCATTCAACTCACAGAGGTGAACAATCCTGCTGATGGAGCAGTTTTGAAACTCTCTTTCTTTGGATTCTGCAAGTGGATATGTGGACCTCTGTGAAGATTTCATTGGAAACGGGTTTATCTTCACAGAAAAACTAAACAGAAGCATTCTCGGAAACTGCTTTGTGATGTTTGTGTTCCACTTCAGGAATTGAACTTTCCTCTTGACAGAGCAGCTCTGAAACCCTCTTATTCTAGAATCTGCAAGTGGACATTTGGAGGGCTTTGAGGCCTGTGGTGGAAAAGGAAAATCTTCACATAAAAACTAAATGGAAGCATTCTCAGAAACTACTTTGTGATGATTGCATTCGACTCACAGAGTTGAACATTCCTATAGAGAGAGCAGGTTGTAAACAATCTCTTTGTAGAATCTGCGATTAGAGATTTGGACTACTTTGAGGCCTACTGTAGTAAAGGAAATAACTTCATCTAAAAACCAAACGGAAGCATTCACAGACAATTCTTAGTGATCATTGGATTGAACCAACAGAGCTGAACATTCCTTTAGATGGCGCAGTTTCCAAACACACTTTCTGTAGAATCTGCAACTGGATATTTGGACCTCTCTGAGGATTTCGTTGGAAACAGGATAAACTTCCCAGAACTACACGGAAGCATTCTGAGAAACTTCTTTGTGATGTTTGCATTCAACTCACAGAGTTGAACCTTGCTTTTATAGTTCAGCTTTCAAACACTCTTTTTGTAGAATCTGCAAGTGGATATTTGGACCACTTTGTGGCCTTCCTTCGAAACGGGTATATCTTCACATCAAACCTAGACAGAAGCATTCTCAGAATGTTTCCTGTGATGACTGCATTCAACTCACAGAGGTGAACAATCCTGCTGATGGAGCAGTTTTGAAACTCTCTTTCTTTGGATTCTGCAAGTGGATGTGTGGACCTCTGTGAAGATTTCGTTGGAAACGGGTTCATCTTCACAGAAAAACTAAACAGAAGCATTCTCAGAAACTGCTTTGCGATGTTTGTGTTCCACTTCAAGAATTGAACTTTCCTCTTGACAGAGCAGCTCTGAAACCCTCTTTTTCTAGAATCTGCAAGTGGACATTTGGAGGGCTTTGAGGCCTGTGGTGGAAAAGGAAAATCTTCACATAAAAACTAGATGGAAGCATTCTCAGAAACTACTTTGTGATGATTGCATTCGACTCACAGAGTTGAACATTCCTATAGATAGAGCAGGTTGTAAACAATCTTTTTGTAGAATCTGCGATTGGAGATTTGGACTGCTTTGAGGCCTACTGTAGTAAAGGAAATAACTTCATCTAAAAACCAAACGGAAGCATTCACAGACAATTCTTAGTGATCATTGGATTGAACTAACAGAGCTGAACATTCCTTGAGATGGAGCAGTTTCCAAACACACTTTCTGTAGAATCTGCAAGTGGATATTTGGACTTCTCTGAGGATTTCGTTGGAAACGGGATAAACTTCCTAGAACTACATGGAAGCATTCTGAGAAACTTCTTTGTGATGTTTGCATTCAACTCACAGAGTGGAACCTTGCTTTCATAGTTCAGCTTTCAAACACTCTTTTTGTAGAATCTGCAAGTGGATATTTGGACCACTTTGTGGCCTTCCTTCGAAACGGGTATATCTTCACATCAAACCTAGACAGAAGCATTCTCAGAATGTTTCCTGTGATGACTGCATTCAACTCACTGAGGTGAACAATCCTGTTGATGGAGCAGTTTTGAAGCTCTCTTTCTTTGGATTCTGCAAGTGGATATGTGGACCTCTGTGAAGATTTCGTTGGAAACGGGTTCATCTTCGCGGAAAAACTAAACAGGAGCATTCTCAGAAATTGCTTTGTGATGTTTGTGTTCCACTTCAAGAATTGAACTTTCCTCTTGACAGAGCAGCTCTGAAACCCTCTTTTTCTAGAATCTGCAAGTGGACATTTGGAGGGCTTTGAGGCCTGTGGTGGAAAAGGAAAATCTTCACATAAAAACTAGATGGAAGCATTCTCAGAAACTACTTTGTGATGATTGCATTCGACTCACAGAGTTGAACATTCCTATAGATAGAGCAGGTTGTAAACAATGTTTTTGTAGAATCTGCGATTGGAGATTTGGATTGCTTTGAGGCCTACTGTAGTAAAGGAAATAACTTCATCTAAAAACCAAACGGAAGCATTCACAGACAATTCTTAGTGATCATTGGATTTAACTAACAGAGCTGAACATTCCTTTAGATGGAGCAGTTTCCAAACCCACTTTCTGTAGAATCTGCAAGTGGATATTTGGACTTCTCTGAGGATTTCGTTGGAAACGGGATAAACTTCCCAGAACTACACGGAAGCATTCTGAGAAACTTCTTTGTGATGTTTGCATTCAACTCACAGAGTTGAACCTTGCTTTCATAGTTCAGCTTTCAAACACTCTTTTTGTAGAATCTGCAAGTGGATATTTGGACCACTTTGTGGCCTTCCTTCGAAACGGGTATATCTTCACATCAAACCTAGACAGAAGTATTCTCAGAATGTTTCCTGTGATGACTGCATTCAACTCACAAAGGTGAACAATCCTGCTGATGGAGCAGTTTTGAAACTCTCTTTCTTTGGATTCTGCAAGTGGATATGTGGACCTCTGTGAAGATTTCGTTGGAAACGGGTTCATCTTCACAGAAAAAGTAAACAGGAGCATTCTCAGAAACTGCTTTGTGATGTTTGTGTTCCACTTCAAGAATTGAACTTTCCTCTTGACAGAGCAGCTCTGAATCCCTCTTTTTCTAGAATCTGCAAGTGGACACTTGGAGGGCTTTGAGGCCTGTGGTGGAAAAGGAAAATCTTCACATAAAAACTAGATGGAAGCATTCTCAGAAACTACTTTGTGATGATTGCATTCGACTCACAGAGTTGAACATTCCTATAGATAGAGCAGGTTGTAAACAATCTTTTTGTAGAATCTGCGATTGGAGATTTGGACTGCTTTGAGGCCTACTGTAGTAAAGGAAATAACTTCATCTAAAAACCAAACGGAAGCATTCACAGACAATTCTTAGTGATCATTGGATTGAAGTAACAGAGCTGAACATTCCTTTAGATGGAGCAGTTTCCAAACACACTTTCTGTAGAATCTGCAAGTGGATATTTGGACCTCTCTGAGGATTTCGTTGGAAAAGGGATAAACTTCCCAGAACTACACGGAAGCATTGTGAGAAACTTCTTTGTGATGTTTGCATTCAACTCACAGAGTTGAACCTTGCTTTCATAGTTCAGCTTTCAAACACTCTTTTTGTAGAATCTGCAAGTGGATATTTGGACCACTTTGTGGCCTTCCTTCGAAACGGGTATATCTTCACATCAAACCTAGACAGAAGCATTCTCAGAATGTTTCCTGTGATGACTGCATTCAACTCACAGAGGTGAACAATCCTGCTGATGGAGCAGTTTTGAAACTCTCTTTCTTTGGATTCTGCAAGTGGATATGTGGACCGCTGTGAAGATTTCGTTGGAAACGGGTTCATCTTCACAGAAAAACTAAACAGAAGCATTCTCAGAAACTGCTTTGTGATGTTTGTGTTCCACTTCAGGAATTGAACTTTCCTCTTGACAGAGCAGCTCTGAAACCCTCTTATTCTAGAATCTGCAAGTGGACATTTGGAGGGCTTTGAGGCCTGTGGTGGAAAAGGAAAATCTTCACATAAAAACTAGATGGAAGCATTCTCAGAAACTACTTTGTGATGATTGCATTCGACTCACAGAGTTGAACATTCCTATAGATAGAGCAGGTTGTAAACAATCTTTTTGTAGAATCTGCGATTGGAGATTTGGACTGCTTTGAGGCCTACTGTAGTAAAGGAAATAACTTCATCTAAAAACCAAACGGAAGCATTCACAGACAATTCTTAGTGATCATTGCATTGAACTAACAGAGCTGAACATTCCTTTAGATGGAGCAGTTTCCAAACACACTTTCTGTAGAATCTGAAAGTGGATATTTGGACTTCTCTGAGGATTTCGTTGGAAACGGGATAAACTTCTCAGAACTACACGGAAGCATTCTGAGAAACTTCTTTGTGATGTTTGCATTCAACTCACAGAGTTGAACCTTGCTTTCATAGTTCAGCTTTCAAACCCTCTTTTTGTAGAATCTGCAAGTGGATATTTGGACCACTTTGTGGCCTTCTTTCGAAACGGGTATATCTTCACATCAAACCTAGACAGAAGCATTCTCAGAATGTTTCCTGTGATGACTGCATTCAACTCACAGAGGTGAACAATCCTGCTGATGGAGCAGTTTTGAAACTCTCTTTCTTTGGATTGTGCAAGTGGATATGTGGACCTCTGTGTAGATTTCGTTGGAAACGGGTTCATCTTCACAGAAAAACTAAACAGGAGCATTCTCAGAAACTGCTTTGCGATGTGTGTGTTCCACTTCAAGAATTGAACTTTCCTCTTGACAGAGCAGCTCTGAAACCCTCTTTTTCTAGAATCTGCAAGTGGACATTTGGAGGGCTTTGAGGCCTGTGGTGGAAAAGGAAAATCTTCACATAAAAACTAGATGGAAGCATTCTCAGAAACTACTTTGTGATGATTGCATTCGACTCACAGAGTTGAACATTCCTATAGATAGAGCAGGTTGTAAACAATCTTTTTGTAGAATCTGCGATTGGAGATTTGGACTGCTTTGAGGCCTACTGTAGTAAAGGAAATAACTTCATCTAAAAACCAAACGGAAGCATTCACAGACAATTCTTAGTGATCATTGGATTGAACTAACAGAGCTGAACATTCCTTTAGATGGAGCATTTTCCAAACACACTTTCTGTAGAATCTGCAAGTGGATATTTGGACCTCTCTGAGGATTTCGTTGGAAACGGGATAAACTTCCCAGAACTACACGGAAGCATTGTGAGAAACTTCTTTGTGATGTTTGCATTCAACTCACAGAGTTGAACCTTGCTTTCATAGTTCAGCTTTCAAACACTCTTTTTGTAGAATCTGCAAGTGGATATTTGGACCACTTTGTGGCCTTCCTTCGAAACGGGTATATCTTCACATCAAACCTAGACAGAAGCTTTCTCAGAATGTTTTCTGTGATGACTGCATTCAACTCACAGAGGTGAACAATCCTGCTGATGGAGCAGTTTTGAAACTCTCTTTCTTTGGATTCTGTAAGTGGATATGTGGACCTCTCTGAAGATTTCGTTGGAAACGGGTTCATCTTCACAGAAAAACTAAACAGGAGCATTCTCAGAAACTGCTTTGTGATGTTTGTGTTCCACTTCAGGAATTGAACTTTCCTCTTGACAGAGCAGCTCTAAAACCCTCTTATTCTAGAATCTGCAAGTGGACATTTGGAGGGCTTTGAGGCCTGTGGTGGAAAAGGAAAATCTTCACATAAAAACTAGATGGAAGCATTCTCAGAAACTTCTTTGTGATGATTGCATTCGACTCACAGAGTTGAACATTCCTATAGATAGAGCAGGTTGTAAACAATCTTTTTGTAGAATCTGCGATTGGAGATTTGGACTGCTTTGAGGCCTACTGTAGTAAAGGAAATTACTTCATCTAAAAACCAAACGGAAGCATTCACAGACAATTCTTAGTGATCATTGCATTGAACTAACAGAGCTGAACATTCCTTTAGATGGAGCAGTTTCCAAACACACTTTCTGTAGAATCTGCAAGTGGATATTTGGACTTCTCTGAGGATTTCGTTGGAAACGGGATAAACTTCCCAGAACTACACGGAAGCATTCTGAGAAACTTCTTTGTGATGTTTGCATTCAACTCACAGGGTTGAACCTTGCTTTCATAGTTCAGCTTTCAAACACTCTTTTTGTAGAATCTGCAAGAGGATATTTCGAACACTTTGTGGCCTTCCTTCGAAACGGGTATATCTTCACATCAAACCTAGACAGAAGCATTCTCAGAATGTTTCCTGTGATGACTGCATTCAACTCACAGAGCTGAACAATCCTGCTGATGGAGCAGTTTTGAAACTCTCTTTCTTTGGATTCTGCAAGTGGATATGTGGACCTCTGTGAAGATTTCGTTGGAAACGGGTTCATCTTCACAGAAAAACTAAACAGGAGCATTCTCAGAAACTGCTTTGTGATGTTTGTGTTCCACTTCAAGAATTGAACTTTCCTCTTGACAGAGCAGCTCTGAAATCCTCTTTTTCTAGAATCTGCAAGTGGACATTTGGAGGGCTTTGAGGCCTGTGGTGGAAAAGGAAAATCTTCACATAAAAACTAGATGGAAGCATTCTCAGAAACTACTTTGTGATGATTGCATTCGACTCACAGAGTTGAACATTCCTATAGATAGAGCAGGTTGTAAACAATCTTTTTGTAGAATCTGCGATTGGAGATTTGGACTGCTTTGAGGCCTACTGTAGTAAAGGAAATAACTTCATCTAAAAACCAAACGGAAGCATTCACAGAAAATTCTTAGTGATCATTGGATTGAACTAACAGAGCTGAACATTCCTTTAGATGGCACAGTTTCCAAACACACTTTCTGTAGAATCTGCAAGTCGATATTTGGACCTCTCTGAGGATTTCGTTGGAAACGGGCTAAACTTCCCAGAACTACACGGAAGCATTCTGAGAAACTTCTTTGTGATGTTTGCATTCAACTCACAGAGTTGAACCTTGCTTTCATAGTTCAGCTTTCAAACACTCTTTTTGTAGAATCTGCAAGTGGATATTTGGACCACTTTGGGGCCTTCCTTCGAAACGGGTATATCTTCACATCAAACCTAGACAGAAGCATTCTCAGAATGTTTCCTGTGATGACTGCATTCAACTCACAGAGGTGAACAATCCTGCTGATGGAGCAGTTTTGAAACTCTCTTTCTTTGGATTCTGCAAGTGGATATGTGGACCTCTGTGAAGATTTCGTTGGAAACGGGTTCATCTTCACAGAAAAACTAAACAGAAGCATTCTCAGAAACTGCTTTGTGATGTTTGTGTTCCACTTCAAGAATTGAAATTTCCTCTTGACAGAGCAGCTCTGAAACCCTCTTTTTCTAGAATCTGCAAGTGGACATTTGGAGGGATTTGAGGCCTGTGGTGGAAAAGGAAAAATCTTCACATAAAAACTAGATGGAAGCACTCTCAGAAACGACTCTGTGATGATAGCATTCAACTCACAGAGTTGGACATTCATTCCTTTTGAGAGAGCAGTTTGGAAACACTCTTTCTGTCGAATCTGCAAGTGGAGATTTGGACCGCTTTGAGGCCTATGGTAGTAAAGGGAAGAACTTCATATAAGAACTAGACAGTAGCATTCACAGACAATTCTTAGTGATCATTGGATTGAACTAACAGAGCTGAACATTCCTTTAGATGGAGCAGTTTCCAAACACACTTTCTGTAGAATCTGCAAGTGGATATTTGGACTTCTCTGAGGATTTCGTTGGAAACGGGATAAACTTCCCAGAACTACACGGAAGCATTGTGAGAAACTTCTTTGTGATGTTTGCATTCAACTCACAGAGTTGAACCTTGCTTTCATAGTTCAGCTTTCAAACACTCTTTTTGTAGAATCTGCAAGTGGATATTTGGACCACTTTGTGGCCTTCCTTCGAAACGGGTATATCTTCACATCAAACCTAGACAGAAGCATTCTCAGAATGTTTCCTGTGATGACTGCATTCAACTCACAGAGGTGAACAATCCTGGTAATGGAGCAGTTTTGAAACTCTCTTTCTTTGGATTCTGCAAGTGGATATGTGGACCTCTGTGAAGATTTCGTTGGAAACTGGTTCATCTTCACAGAAAAACTAAACAGAAGCATTCTCAGAAACTGCTTTGTGATGTTTGTGTTCCACTTCAGGAATTGAACTTTCCTCTTGACAGAGCAGCTCTGAAACCCTCTTTTTCTAGAATCTGCAAGTGGACATTTGGAGGGCTTTGAGGCCTGTGGTGGAAAAGGAAAATCTTCACATAAAAACTAGATGGAAGCATTCTCAGAAACTACTTTGTGATGATTGCATTCGACTCACAGAGTTGAACATTCCTATAGATAGAGCAGGTTGTAAACAATCTTTTTGTAGAATCTGCGATTGGAGATTTGGACTGCTTTGAGGCCTACTGTAGTAAAGGAAATAACTTCATCTAAAAACCAAACGGAAGCATTCACAGACAATTCTTAGTGATCATTGCATTGAACTAACAGAGCTGAACATTCCTTTAGATGGAGCAGTTTCCAAACACACTTTCTGTAGAATCTGCAAGTGGATATTTGGACTTGTCTGAGGATTTCGTTGGAAACGGGATAAACTTCCCAGAACTACACGGAAGCATTGTGAGAAACTTCTTTGTGATGTTTGCATTCAACTCACAGAGTTGAACCTTGCTTTCATAGCTCAGCTTTCAAACACTCTTTTTGTAGAATCTGCAAGTGGATATTTGGATCACTTTGTGGCCTTCCTTCGAAACGGGTATATCTTCACATCAAACCTAGACAGAAGCATTCTCAGAATGTTTCCTGTGATGACTGCATTCAACTCACAGAGGTGAACAATCCTGTTGATGGAGCAGTTTTGAAACTCTCTTTCTTTGGATTCTGCAAGTGGATATGTGGACCTCTGTGAAGATTTCGTTGGAAACGGGTTCATCTTCACTGAAAAAGTAAACAGAAGCATTCTCAGAAACTGCTTTGTGATGTTTGTGTTCCACTTCAGGAATTGAACTTTCCTCTTGTCAGAGCAGCTCTGAAACCCTCTTTTTCTAGAATCTGCAAGTGGACAGTTGGATGGCTTTGAGGCCTGTGGTGGAAAAGGAAAATCTTCACATAAAAACTAGATGGAAGCATTCTCAGAAACTACTTTGTGATGATTGCATTCGACTCACAGAGTTGAACATTCCTATATATAGAGCAGGTTGTAAACAATCTTTTTGTAGAATCTGCGATTGGAGATTTGGACTGCTTTGAGGCCTACTGTAGTTAAGGAAATAACTTCATCTAAAAACCAAACGGAAGCATTCACAGACAATTCTTAGTTATCATTGGATTGAACTAACAGAGCTGAACATTCCTTTAGATGGCGCAGTTTCCAAACACACTTTCTGTAGAATCTGCAAGTGGATATTTGGACCTCTCTGAGGATTTCGTTGGAAACGGGATAAATTTCCCAGAACTACACGGAAGCATTTTGAGAAACTTCTTTGTGATGTTTGCATTCAACTCACAGAGTTGAACCTTGCTTTCATAGTTCAGCTTTCAAACACTCTTTTTGTAGAATCTGCAAGTGGATATTTGGACCACTTTGTGGCCTTCCTTCGAAACGGGTATATCTTCACATCAAACCTAGACAGAAGCATTCTCAGAATGTTTCCTGTGATGACTGCATTCAACTCACAGAGGTGAACAATCCTGCTGATGGAGCAGTTTTGAAACTGTCTTTCTTTGGATTCTGCAAGTGGATATGTGGACCTCTGTGAAGATTTCGTTGGAAACGGGTTCATTTTCACAGAAAAACTAAACAGGAGCATTCTCAGAAACTACTTTGTGATGTTTGTGTTCCACTTCAAGAATTGAACTGTCCTCTTGACAGAGCAGCTCTGAAACCCTCTTTTTCTAGAATCTGCAAGTGGACATTTGGAGGGCTTTGAGGCCTGTGGTGGAAAAGGAAAATCTTCACATAAAAACTAGATGGAAGCATTCTCAGAAACTACTTTGTGATGATTGCATTCGACTCACAGAGTTGAACATTCCTATAGATAGAGCAGGTTGTAAACAATCTTTTTGTAGAATCTGCGATTGGAGATTTGGACTGCTTTGAGGCCTACTGTAGTAAAGGAAATAACTTCACCTAAAAACCAAACGGAAGCATTCACAGACAATTCTTAGTGATCATTGGATTGAACTAACAGAGCTGAACATTCCTTTAGATGGAGCAGTTGCCAAACCCACTTTCTGTAGAATCTGCAAGTGGATATTTGGACTTCTCTGAGGATTTCGTTGGAAACGGGATAAAATTCCCAGAACTACACGGAAGCATTGTGAGAATCATCTTTCTGATGTTTGCATTCAACTCACAGAGTTGAACCTTGCTTTCATAGTTCAGCTTTCAAACACTCTTTTTGTAGAATCTGCAAGTGGATATTTGGACCACTTTGTGGCCTTCCTTTGAAACGGGTACATCTTCACATCAAACCTAGACAGAAGCATTCTCAGAATGTTTCCTGTGATGACTGCATTCAACTCACAGAGGTGAACAATCCTGTTGATGGAGCACTTTTGAAACTCTCTTTCTTTGGATTCTGCAAGTTGATATGTGGACCTCTGTGAAGATTTCGTTGGAAACGGGTTCATCTTCACAGAAAAACTAAACAGAAGCATTCTCAGAAACTGCTTTGTGATGTTTGTGTTCCACTTCAGGAATTGAACTTTCCTCTTGACAGAGCAGCTCTGAAACCCTCTTTTTCTAGAATCTGCAAGTGGACATTGGGAGGGCTTTGAGGCCTGTGGTGGAAAAGGAAAATCTTCACATAAAAACTAGATGGAAGCACTCTCAGAAACTACTTTGTGATGATTGCATTCGACTCACAGAGTTGAACATTCCTATAGATAGAGCAGGTTGTAAACAATCTTTTTGTAGAATCTGCGATTGTAGATTTGGACTGCTTTGAGGCCTACTGTAGTAAAGGAAATAACTTCATCTAAAAACCAAACGGAAGCATTCACAGACAATTCTTATTGATCATTGGATTGAACTAACAGAGCTGAACATTCCTTTAGATGGCGCAGTTTCCAAACACACTTTCTGTAGAATCTGCCACTGGATATTTGGACCTCTCTGAGGATTTCGTTGGAAACGGGATAAACTTCCCAGAACTACACGGAAGCATTCTGAGAAACTTCTTTGTGATGTTTGCATTCAACTCACAGAGTTGAACCTTGCTTTCATAGTTCAGCTTTCAAACACTCTTTTTGTAGAATCTGCAAGTGGATATTTGGACCACTTTGTGGCCTTCCTTCGAAACGGGTATATCTTCACATCAAACCTAGACGGAAGCATTCTCAGAATGTTTCCTGTGATGACTGCATTCAACTCACAGAGGTGAACAATCCTGCTGATGGAGCAGTTTTGAAACTCTCTTTCTTTGGATTCTGCAAGTGGATATGTGGACCTCTTTGAAGATTTCGTTGGAAACGGGTTCATCTTCACAGAAAAACTAAACAGAAACATTCTCAGAAACTGCTTTGTGAAGTTTGTGTTCCACTTCAGGAATTGAACTTTCCTCTTGACAGAGCAGCTCTGAAACCCTCTTATTCTAGAATCTGCAAGTGGACATTCGGAGGGCTTTGAGGCCTGTGGTGGAAAAGGAAAATCTTCACATAAAAACTAGATGGAAGCATTCTCAGAAACTACTTTGTGATGATTGCATTCGACTCACAGAGTTGAACATTCCTATAGATAGAGCAGGTTGTAAACAATCTTTTTGTAGAATCTGCGATTGGAGATTTGGACTGCTTTGAGGCCTACTGTAGTAAAGGAAATAACTTCATCTAAAAACCAAACGGAAGCATTCACAGACAATTCTTAGTGATCATTGGATTGAACTAACAGAGCTGAACATTCCTTTAGATGGAGCAGTTTCCAAACCCACTTTCTGTAGAATCTGCAAGTGGATATTTGGACTTCTCTGAGGATTTCGTTGGAAACGGGATAAACTTCCCAGAACTACACGGAAGCATTCTGAGAAACTTCTTTGTGATGTTTGCATTCAACTCACAGAGCTGAACCTTGCTTTCATAGTTCAGCTTTCAAACACTCTTTTTGTAGAATCTGTAAGTGGATATTTGGACCACTTTGTGGCCTTCCTTCGAAACGGGTATATCTTCACATCAAACCTAGACAGAAGCATTCTCAGAATGTTTCCTGTGATGACTGCATTCAACTCACAGAGGTGAACAATCCTGTTGATGGAGCACTTTTGAAACTCTCTTTCTTTGGATTCTGCAAGTGGATATGTGGACCTCTGTGAAGATTTCGTTGGAAACGGGTTCATCTTCACAGAAAAAATAACAGGAGCATTCTCAGAAACTGCTTTGTGATGTTTGTGTTCCACTTCAAGAATTGAACTTTCCTCTTGACAGAGCAGCTCTGAAACCCTCTTTTTCTAGAATCTGCAAGTGGACATTTGGAGGGCTTTGAGGCCTGTGGTGGAAAAGGAAAATCTTCACATAAAAACTAGATGGAAGCATTCTCAGAAACTACTTTGTGATGATTGCATTCGACTCACAGAGTTGAACATTCCTATAGATAGAGCAGGTTGTAAACAATCTTTTTGTAGAATCTGCGATTGGAGATTTGGACTGCTTTGAGGCCTACTGTAGTAAAGGAAATAACTTCATCTAAAAACCAAACGGAAGCATTCACAGACAATTCTTAGTGATCATTGCATTGAACTAACAGAGCTGAACATTCCTTTAGATGGCGCAGTTTCCAAACACACTTTCTGTAGAATCTGAAAGTGGATATTTGGACCTCTCTGAGGATTTCGTTGGAAACGGGGTAAACTTCCCAGAACTACACGGAAGCATTCTGAGAAACTTCTTTGTGATGTTTGCATTCAACTCACAGAGTTGAACCTTGCTTTCATAGTTCAGCTTTCAAACACTCTTTTTGTAGAGTCTGCAAGTGGATATTTGGACCACTTTGTGGCCTTCCTTCGAAACGGGTATATCTTCACATCAAACCTAGACAGAAGCATTCTCAGAATGTTTCCTGTGATGACTGCATTCAACTCACAGAGGTGAACAATCCTGTTGATGGAGCAGTTTTGAAACTCTCTTTCTTTGGATTCTGCAAGTGGATATGTGGACCTCTGTGAAGATTTCGTTGGAAACGAGTTCGTCTTCACAGAAAAACTAAACAGAAGCATTCTCAGAAACTGCTTTGTGATGTTTGTGTTCCACTTCAGGAATTGAACTTTCCTCTTGACAGAGCAGCTCTGAAACCCTCTTATTCTAGAATCTGCAAGTTGACATTTGGAGGGCTTTGAGGCCTGTGGTGGAAAAGGAAAATCTTCACATAAAAACTAGATGGAAGCATTCTCAGAAACTACTTTGTGATGATTGCATTCGACTCACAGAGTTGAACATTCCTATACATAGAGCAGGTTGTAAACAATCTTTTTGTAGAATCTGCGATTGGAGATTTGGACTGCTTTGAGGCCTACTGTAGTAAAGGAAATAACTTCATCTAAAAACCAAACGGAAGCATTCACAGAAAATTCTTAGTGATCATTGGATTGAACTAACAGACCTGAACATTCCTTTAGATGGAGCAGTTTCCAAACACACTTTCTGTAGAATCTGCAAGTGGATATTTGGACCTCTCTGAGGATTTCGTTGGAAACGGGATAAACTTCCCAGAACTACACGGAAGCATTGTGAGAAACTTCTTTGTGATGTTTGCATTCAACTCACAGAGTTGAACCTTGCTTTCATAGTTCAGCTTTCAAACACTCTTTTTGTAGAATCTGCAAGTGGATATTTGGACCACTTTGTGGCCTTCCTTCGAAACGGGTATATCTTCACATCAAACCTAGACAGAAGCATTCTCAGAATGTTTCCTGTGATGACTGCATTCAACTCACAGAGGTGAACAATCCTGCTGATGGAGCAGTTTTGAAACTCTCTTTCTTTGGATTCTGCAAGTGGATATGTGGACCTCTGTGAAGATTTCGTTGGAAACGGGTTCATCTTTACAGAAAAACTAAACAGAAGCATTCTCAGAAACTGCTCTGTGATGTTTGTGTTCCACTTCAGGAATTGAACTTTCCTCTTGACAGAGTAGCTCTGAAACCCTCTTTTTCTAGAATCTGCAAGTGGACATTTGGAGGGCTTTGAGGCCTGTGGTGGAAAAGGAAAATCTTCACACAAATACTAGATGGAAGCATTCTCAGAAACTACTCTGTGATGATTGCATTCGACTCACAGAGTTGAACATTCCTATAGATAGAGCAGGTTGTAAACAATCTTTTTGTAGAATCTGCGATTGGAGATTTGGACTGCTTTGAGGCCTACTGTAGTAAAGGAAATAACTTCATCTAAAAACCAAACGGAAGCATTCACAGACAATTCTTAGTGATCATTGCATTGAACTAACAGAGCTGAATATTCGTTTAGATGGCGCAGTTTCCAAACACACTTTCTGTAGAATCTGCAAGTGGATATTTGGACCTCTCTGAGGATTTCGTTGGAAACGGGATAAACTTCCCAGAACTACACGGAAGCATTCTGAGAAACTTCTTTGTGATGTTTGCATTCAACTCACAGAGTTGAACCTTGCTTTCATAGTTCAGCTTTCAAACACTCTTTTTGTAGAATCTGCAAGTGGATATTTGGACCACTTTGTGGCCTTCCTTCGAAACGGGTATATCTTCACATCAAACCTAGACAGAAGCATTCTCAGAATGTTTCCTGTGATGACTGCATTCAACTCACAGAGGTGAACAATCCTGCTGATGGAGCAGTTTTGAAACTCTCTTTCTTTGGATTCTGCAAGTGGATATGTGGACCTCTGTGAAGATTTCGTTGGAAACGGGTTCATCTTCACAGAAAAACTAAACAGAAGCATTCTCAGCAACTACTTTGTGATGTTTGTGTTCCACTTCAAGAATTGAACTTTCCTCTTGACAGAGCAGCTCTGAAACCCTCTTTTTCTAGAATCTGCAAGTGGACATTTGGTGGGATTTGAGGCATGTGGTGGAAAAGGAAAATCTTCACATAAAAACTAGATGGAAGCATTCTCAGAAACTACTTTGTGATGATTGCATTCGACTCACAGAGTTGAACATTCCTATAGATAGAGCAGGTTGTAAACAATCTCTTTGTAGAATCTGCGATTGGAGATTTGGACTGCTTTGAGGCCTACTGTAGTAAAGGAAATAACTTCATCTAAAAACCAAACGGAAGCATTCACAGACAATTCTTAGTGATCATTGGATTGAACTAACAGAGCTGAACATTCCTTTAGATGGAGCAGTTTCCAAACACACTTTCTGTAGAATCTGCAAGAGGATATTTGGACTTCTCTGAGGATTTCGTTGGAAACGGGATAAACTTCCCAGAACTACACGGAAGCATTGTGAGAAACTTCTTTGTGATGTTTGCATTCAACTCACAGAGTTGAACCTTGCTTTCATAGTTCAGCTTTCAAACACTCTTTTTGTAGAATCTGCAAGTGGATATTTGGACCACTTTGTGGCCTTCCTTCGAAACGGGTATATCTTCACATCAAACCTAGACAGAAGCATTCTCAGAATGTTTCCTGTGATGACTGCATTCAACTCACAGAGGTGAACAATCCTGCTGATGGAGCAGTTTTGAAACTCTCTTTCTTTGGATTCTGCAAGTGGATATGTGGACCTCTGTGAAGATTTCGTTGGAAACGGGTTCATCTTCACAGAAAAACTAAACAGAAGCATTCTCAGAATCTGCTTTGTGATGTTTGTGTTCCACTTCAAGAATTGAACTTTCCTCTTGACAGAGCAGCTCTGAAACCCTCTTTTTCTAGAATCTGCAAGTGGACATTTGGAGGGCTTTGAGGCCTGTGGTGGAAAAGGAAAATCTTCACATGAAAACTAGATGGAAGCATTCTCAGAAACTACTTTGTGATGATTGCATTCGACTCACAGAGTTGAACATTCCTATAGATAGAGCAGGTTGTAAACAATCTTTTTGTAGAATCTGCGATTGGAGATTTGGACTGCTTTGAGGCCTACTGTAGTAAAGGAAAAAACTTCATCTAAAAACCAAACGGAAGCATTCACAGACAATTCTTAGTGATCATTGGATTGAACTAACAGAGCTGAACATTCCTTTAGATGGAGCAGTTTCCAAACCCACTTTCTGTAGAATCTGCAAGTGGATATTTGGACTTCTCTGAGGATTTCGTTGGAAACGGGATATACTTCCCAGAACTACACGGAAGCATTCTGAGAAACTTCTTTGTGATGTTTGCATTCAACTCACAGAGTTGAACCTTGCTTTCATAGTTCAGCTTTCAAACACTCTTTTTGTAGAATCTGCAAGTGGATATTTGGACCACTTTGTGGCCTTCCTTCGAAACGGGTATATCTTCACATCAAACCTAGACAGAAGCATTCTCAGAATGTTTCCTGTGATGACTGCATTCAACTCACAGAGGTGAACAATCCTGCTGATGGAGCAGTGTTGAAACTCTCTTTCTTTGGATTCTGCAAGTGGATATGTGGACCTCTGTGAAGATTTCGTTGGAAACGGGTTCATCTTCACAGAAAAACTAAACAGGAGCATTCTCAGAAACTGCTTTGTGATGTTTGTGTTCCACTTCAAGAATTGAACATTCCTCTTGACAGAGCAGCTCTGAAACCCTCTTTTTCTAGAATCTGCAAGTGGACATTTGGAGGGCTTTGAGGCCTGTGGTGGAAAAGGAAAATGTTCACATAAAAACTAGATGGAAGCATTCTCAGAAACTACTTTGTGATGATTGCATTCGACTCACAGAGTTGAACATTCCTATAGATAGAGCAGGTTGTAAACAATCTTTTTGTAGAATCTGCGATTGGAGATTTGGACTGCTTTGAGGCCTACTGTAGTAAAGGAAATAACTTCATCTAAAAACCAAACGGAAGCATTCACAGACAATTCTTAGTGATCATTGCATTGAACTAACAGAGCTGAACATTCCTTTAGATGGAGCATTTTCCAAACACACTTTCTGTAGAATCTGCAAGTGGATATTTGGACTTCTCTGAGGATTTCGTTGGAAACGGGATATACTTCCCAGAACTACACGGAAGTATTCTGAGAAACTTCTTTGTGATGTTTGCATTCAACTCACAGAGTTGAACCTTGCTTTCATAGTTCAGCTTTCAAACACTCTTTTTGTAGAATCTGCAAGTGGATATTTGGACCACTTTGTGGCCTTCCTTCGAAACGGGTATATCTTCACATCAAACCTAGACAGAAGCATTCTCAGAATGTTTCCTGTGATGACTGCATTCAACTCACAGAGGTGAACAATCCTGCTGATGGAGCAGTTTTGAAACTCTCTTTCTTTGGATTCTGCAAGTGGATATGTGGACCTCTGTGAAGATTTCATTGGAAACGGGTTTATCTTCACAGAAAAACTAAACAGAAGCATTCTCAGAAACTGCTTTGTGATGTTTGTGTTCCACTTCAAGAATTGAACTTTCCTCTTGACAGAGCAGCTCTGAAACCCTCTTTTTCTAGAATCTGCAAGTGGACATTTGGAGGGCTTTGAGGCCTGTGGTGGAAAAGGAAAATCTTCACATAAAAACTAGATGGAAGCATTCTCAGAAACTACTTTGTGATGATTGCATTCGACTCACAGAGTTGAACATTCCTATAGATAGAGCAGGTTGTAAACAATCTTTTGTAGAATCTGCGATTGGAGATTTGGACTGCTTTGAGGTCTACTGTAGTAAAGGAAATAACTTCATCTAAAAACCAAACGGAAGCATTCACAGACAATTCTTAGTGATCATTGGATTGAACTAACAGAGCTGAACATTCCTTTAGATGGAGCAGTTTCCAAAGACACTTTCTGTAGAATCTGCAAGTGGATATTTGGACCTCTCTGAGGATTTCGTTGGAAACGGGATAAACTTCCCGGAACTACACAGAAGCATTGTGAGAAACTTCTTTGTGATGTTTGCATTCAACTCACAGAGTTGAACCTTGCTTTCATAGTTCAGCTTTCAAACACTCTTTTTGTAGAATCTGCAAGTGGATATTTGGACCACTTTGTGGCCTTCCTTTGAAAAGGGTATATCTTCACATCAAACCTAGACAGAAGCATTCTCAGAATGTTTCCTGTGATGACTGCATTCAACTCACAGAGGTGAACAATCCTGCTGATGGAGCAGTTTTGAAACTCTCTTTCTTTGGATTCTGCAAGTGGATATGTGGACCTCTGTGAAGATTTCGTTGGAAACGGGTTCATCTTCCCAGAAAAACTAAAAAGAAACATTCTCAGAAACTGCTTTGTGAAGTTTGTGTTCCACTTCAGGAATTGAACTTTCCTCTTGACAGAGCAGCTCTGAAACCCTCTTATTCTAGAATCTGCAAGTGGACATTTGGAGGGCTTTGAGGCCTGTGGTGGAAAAGGAAAATCTTCACATAAAAACTAGATGGAAGCATTCTCAGAAACTACTTTGTGATGATTGCATTCGACTCACAGAGTTGAACATTCCTATAGATAGAGCAGGTTGTAAACAATCTTTTTGTAGAATCTGCGATTGGAGATTTGGACTGCTTTGAGGCCTACTGTAGTAAAGGAAATAACTTCATCTAAAAACCAAACGGAAGCATTCACAGACAATTCTTAGTGATCATTGCATTGAACTAACAGAGCTGAACATTCCTTTAGATGGAGCATTTTCCAAACACACTTTCTGTAGAATCTGCAAGTGGATATTTGGACTTCTCTGAGGATTTCGTTGGAAACGGGATAAACTTCCCAGAACTACACGGAAGCATTGTGAGAAACTTCTTTGTGATGTTTGCATTCAACTCACAGAGTTGAACCTTGCTTTCATAGTTCAGCTTTCAAACACTCTTTTTATAGAATCTGCAAGTGGATATTTGGACCACTTTGTGGCCTTCCTTCGAAACGGGTATATCTTCACATCAAACCTAGACAGAAGCATTCTCAGAATGTTTCCTGTGATGACTGCATTCAACTCACAGAGGTGAACAATCCTGTTGATGGAGCAGTTTTGAAACTCTCTTTCTTTGGATTCTGCAAGTGGATATGTGGACCTCTGTGAAGATTTCGTTGGAAACGGGTTCATCTTCACAGAAAAACTAAACAGAAGCATTCTCGGAAACTGCTTTGTGATGTTTGTGTTCCACTTCAGGAATTGAACTTTCCTCTTGACAGAGCAGCTCTGAAACCCTCTTATTCTAGAATCTGCAAGTGGACATTTGGAGGGCTTTGAGGCCTGTGGTGGAAAAGGAAAATCTTCACATAAAAACTAGATGGAAGCATTCTCAGAAACTACTTTGTGATGATTGCATTCGACTCACAGAGTTGAACATTCCTATAGATAGAGCAGGTTGTAAACAATCTTTTTGTAGAATCTGCGATTGGAGATTTGGACTGCTTTGAGGCCTACTGTAGTAAAGGAAATAACTTCATCTAAAAACCAAACGGAAGCATTCACAGACAATTCTTAGTGATCATTGCATTGAACTAACAGAGCTGAACATTCCTTTAGATGGCGCAGTTTCCAAACACACTTTCTGTAGAATCTGCAAGTGGATATTTGGACCTCTCTGAGGATTTCGTTGGAAACGGGATAAACTTCCCAGAACTACACGGAAGCATTGTGAGAAACTTCTTTGTGATGTTTGCATTCAACTCACAGAGTTGAACCTTGCTTTCATAGTTCAGCTTTCAAACACTCTTTTTGTAGAATCTGCAAGTGGATATTTGGACCACTTTGTGGCCTTCCTTCGAAACGGGTATATCTTCACATCAAACCTAGACAGAAGCATTCTCAGAATGTTTCCTGTGATGACTGCATTCAACTCAGAGAGGTGAACAATCCTGTTGATGGAGCAGTTTTGAAACTCTCTTTCTTTGGATTCTGCAAGTTGATATGTGGACCTCTGTGAAGATTTCGTTGGAAACGGGTTCATCTTCACAGAAAATCTAAACAGAGAGCATTCTCAGAAACTGCTTTGTGATGTTTGTGTTCCACTTCAGGAATTGAACTTTCCTCTTGATAGGGCAGCTCTGAAACCCTCTTTTTCTAGAATCTGCAAGTGGACATTTGGAGGGCTTTGAGGCCTGTGGTGGAAAAGGAAAATCTTCACATAAAAACTAGATGGAAGCATTCTCAGAAACTACTTTGTGATGATTACATTCGACTCACAGAGTTGAACATTCCTATAGATAGAGCAGGTTGTAAACAATCTTTTTGTAGAATCTGCGATTGGAGATTCGGACTGCTTTGAGGCATACTGTAGTAAAGGAAATAACTTCATCTAAAAACCAAACGGAAGCAAACACAGACAATTCTTAGTGATCATTGCATTGAACTAACAGAGCTGAACATTCCTTTAGATGGCGCAGTTTCCAAACACACTTTCTGTAGAATCTGCAAGTGGATATTTGGACCTCTCTGAGGATTTCGTTGGAAACGGGATAAACTTCCCAGAACTACACGGAAGTATTCTGAGAAACTTCTTTGTGATGTTTGCATTCAACTCACAGAGTTGAACCTTGCTTTCATAGTTCAGTTTTCAAACACTCTTTTTGTAGAATCTGCAAGTGGATATTTGGACCACTTTGTGGCCTTCCTTCGAAACGGGTATATCTTCACATCAAACCTAGACAGAAGCATTCTCAGAATGTTTCCTGTGATGACTGCATTCAACTCACAGAGGTGAACAATCCTGCTGATGGAGCAGTTTTGAAACTCTCTTTCTTTGGATTCTGCAAGTGGATATGTGGACCTCTGTGAAGATTTCGTTGGAAACGGGTTCATCTTCACAGAAAAACTAAACAGAAGCATTCCCAGAAACTGCTTTGTGATGTTTCTGTTCCACTTCAAGAATTGAACTTTCCTCTTGACAGAGCAGCTCTGAAACCCTCTTTTTCTAGAATCTGCAAGTGGACATTTGGAGGGCTTTGAGGCCTGTGGTGGAAAAGGAAAATCTTCACATAAAAACTAGATGGAAGCATTCTCAGAAACTACTTTGTGATGATTGCATTCGACTCACAGAGTTGAACATTCCTATAGATAGAGCAGGTTGTAAACAATCTTTTTGTAGAATCTGAGATTGGAGATTTGGACTGCTTTGAGGCCTACTGTAGTAAAGGAAATAACTTCATCTAAAAACCAAACGGAAGCATTCACAGACAATTCTTAGTGATCATTGGATTGAACTAACAGAGCTGAACATTCCTTTAGATGGAGCAGTTTCCAAACACACTTTCTGTAGAATCTGCAAGTGGATATTTGGACTTCTCTGAGGATTTCGTTGGAAACGGGATAAACTTCCCAGAACTACACGGAAGCATTCTGAGAAACTTCTTTGTGATGTTTGCATTCAACTCACAGAGTTGAACCTTGCTTTCATAGTTCAGCTTTCAAACACTCTTTTTGTAGAATCTGCAAGTGGATATTTGGACCACTTTGTGGCCTTCCTTCGAAACGGGTATATCTTCACATCAAACCTAGACAGAAGCATTCTCAGAATGTTTCCTGTGATGACTGCATTCAACTCACAGAGGTGAACAATCCTGCTGATGGAGCAGTTTTGAAACTCTCTTTCTTTGGATTCTGCAAGTGGATATGTGGACCTCTGTGAAGATTTCGTTGGAAACGGGTTCATCTTCACAGAAAAACTAAACAGAAGCATTCTCAGAAACTGCTTTGTGATGTTTGTGTTCCACTTCAAGAATTGAAATTTCCTCTTGACAGAGCAGCTCTGAAACCCTCTTTTTCTAGAATCTGCAAGTGGACATTTGGAGGGATTTGAGGCCTGTGGTGGAAAAGGAAAAATCTTCACATAAAAACTAGATGGAAGCATTCTCAGAAACTACTTTGTGATGATTGCATTCGACTCACAGAGTTGAACATTCCTATAGATAGAGCAGGTTGTAAACAATCTTTTTGTAGAATCTGCGATTGGAGATTTGGACTGCTTTGAGGCCTACTGTAGTAAAGGAAATAACTTCATCTAAAAACCAAACGGAAGCATTCACAGACAATACTTAGTGATCATTGGTTTGAACTAACAGAGCTGAACATTCCTTTAGATGGAGCAGTTTCCAAACCCACTTTCTGTAGAATCTGCAAGTGGATATTTGGACTTCTCTGAGGATTTCGTTGGAAACGGGATAAACTTCCCAGAACTACACGGAAGCATTCTGAGAAACTTCTTTGTGATGTTTGCATTCAACTCACAGAGTTGAACCTTGCTTTCATAGTTCAGCTTTCAAAGACTCTTTTTGTAGAATCTGCAAGTGGATATGTGGACCACTTTGTGGCCTTCCTTCGAAACGGGTATATCTTCACATCAAACCTAGACAGAAGCATTCTCAGAATGTTTCCTGTGATGACTGCATTCAACTCACAGAGGTGAACAATCCTGTTGATGGAGCAGTTTTGAAACTCTCTTTCTTTGGATTCTGCAAGTGGATATGTGGACCTCTGTGAAGATTTCGTTGGAAACGGGTTCATCTTCACAGAAAAACTAAACAGAAGCATTCTCAGAAACTGCTTTGTGATGTTTGTGTTCCACTTCAAGAATTGAACTTTCCTCTTGACAGAGCAGCTCTGAAACCCTCTTATTCTAGAATCTGCAGGTGGACATTTGGAGGGCTTTGAGGCCTGTGGTGGAAAAGGAAAATCTTCACATAAAAACTAGATGGAAGCATTCTCAGAAACTACTTTGTGATGATTGCATTCGACTCACAGAGTTGAACATTCCTATAGATAGAGCAGGTTGTAAACAATCTTTTTGTAGAATCTGCGATTGGAGATTTGGACTGCTTTGAGGCCTACTGTAGTAAAGGAAATAACTTCATCTAAAAACCAAAATGGAAGCATTCACAGACAATTCTTAGTGATCATGGGATTGAACTAACAGAGCTGAACATTCCTTTAGATGGAGCAGTTTCCAAACACACTTTCTGTAGAATCTGCAAGTGGATATTTGGACTTCTCTGAGGATTTCGTTGGAAACGGGATAAACTTCCCAGAACTACACGGAAGCATTGTGAGAAACTTCTTTGTGATGTTTGCATTCAACTCACAGAGTTGAACCTTGCTTTCATAGTTCAGCTTTCAAACACTCTTTTTGTAGAATCTGCAAGTGGATATTTGGACCACTTTTTGGCCTTCCTTCGAAACGGGTATATCTTCACATCAAACCTAGACAGAAGCATTCTCAGAAAGTTTCCTGTGATGACTGCATTCAACTCACAGAGGTGAACAATCCTTCTGATGGAGCAGTTTTGAAACTCTCTTTCTTTGGATTCTGCAAGTGGATATGTGGACCTCTGTGAAGATTTCGTTGGAAACGGGTTCATCTTCACAGAAAAACTAAACAGAAGCATTCTCAGAAACTGCTTTGTGATGTTTGTGTTCCACTTCAAGAATTGAACTTTCCTCTTGACAGAGCAGCTCTGAAACCCTCTTTTTCTGGAATCTGCAAGTGGACATTTGGAGGGCTTTGAGGCCTGTGGTGGAAAAGGAAAATCTTCCCATAAAAACTAGATGGAAGCATTCTCAGAAACTCCTTTGTGATGATTGCATTCGACTCACAGAGTTGAACATTCCTATAGATAGAGCAGGTTGTAAACAATCTTTTTGTAGAATCTGCGATTGGAGATTTGGACTGCTTTGAGGCCTAGTGTAGTAAAGGAAATAACTTCATCTAAAAACCAAACGGAAGCATTCACAGACAATTCTTAGTGATCATTGGATTGAACTAACAGAGCTGAACATTCCTTTAGATGGAGCAGTTTCGAAACACACTTTCTGTAGAATCTGCAAGTGGATATTTGGACTTCTCTGAGGATTTCGTTGGAAATGGGATAAACTTCCCAGAACTACACGGAAGCATTCTGAGAAACTTCTTTGTGATGTTTGCATTCAACTCACAGAGTTGAACCTTGCTTTCATAGTTCAGCTTTCAAACACTCTTTTTGTAGAATCTGCAAGTGGATATTTGGACCACTTTGTGGCCTTCCTTCGAAAAGGGTATATCTTCACATCAAACCTAGACAGAAGCATTCTCAGAATGTTTCCTGTGATGACTGCATTCAACTCACAGAGGTGAACAATCCTGCTGATGGAGCAGTTTTGAAACTCTCTTTCTTTGGATTCTGCAAGTGGATATGTGGACCTCTGTGAAGATTTCGTTGGAAACGGGTTCATCTTCACAGAAAAACTGAACAGGAGCATTCTCAGAAACTGCTTTGTGATGTTTGTGTTCCACTTCAGGAATTGAACTTTCCTCTTGACAGAGCAGCTCTGAAACCCTCTTTTTCTAGAATCTGCAAGTGGACATTTGGAGGGCTTTGAGGCTTGTGGTGGAAAAGGAAACTCTTCACATAAAAACTAGATGGAAGCATTCTCAGAAACTACTTTGTGATGATTGCATTCGACTCACAGAGTTGAACATTCCTAAAGATAGAGCAGGTTGTAAACAATCTTTTTGTAGAATCTGCGATTGGAGATTTGGACTGCTTTGAGGCCTACTGTAGTAAAGGAAATAACTTCATCTAAAAACCAAACGGAAGCATTCACAGACAATTCTTAGTGATCACTGGATTGAACTAACAGAGCTGAACATTCCTTTAGATGGAGCATTTTCCAAACACACTTTCTGTAGAATCTGCAAGTGGATATTTGGACTTCTCTGAGGATTTCGTTGGAAACGGGATAAACTTCCCAGAACTACACGGAAGCATTGTGAGAAACTTCTTTGTGATGCTTGCATTCAACTCACAGAGTTGAACCTTGCTTTCATAGTTCAGCTTTCAAACACTCTTTTTGTAGAATCTGCAAGTGGATATTTGGACCACTTTGTGGCCTTCCTTCGAAACGGGTATATCTTCACATCAAACCTAGACAGAAGCATTCTCAGAATGTTTCCTGTGATGACTGCATTCAACTCACAGAGGTGAACAATCCTGCTGATGGAGCACTTTTGAAACTCTCTTTCTTTGGATTCTGCAAGTGGATATGTGGACCTCTGTGAAGATTTCGTTGGAAACGGGTTCATCTTCACAGAAAAACTAAACAGGAGCATTCTCAGAAACTACTTTGTGATGTTTGTGTTCCACTTCAAGAATTGAACTTTCCTCTTGACAGAGCAGCTCTGAAACCCTCTTTTTCTAGAATCTGCAAGTGGACATTTGGAGGGCTTTGAGGCCTGTGGTGGAAAAGGAAAATCTTCACATAAAAACTAGATGGAAGCATTCTCAGAAACTACTTTGGGATGATTGCATTCGACTCACAGAGTTGAACATTCCTATAGATAGAGCAGGTTGTAAACAATCTTTTTGTAGAATCTGCGATTGGAGATTTGGACTGCTTTGAGGCCTACTGTAGTAAAGGAAATAACTTCATCTAAAAACCAAACGGAAGCATTCACAGACAATTCTTAGTGATCATTGGATTGAACTAACAGAGCTGAACATTCCTTTAGATGGAGCAGTTTCCAAACACACTTTCTGTAGAATCTGCAAGTGGATATTTGGACTTCTCTGAGGATTTCGTTGGAAACGGGATAAACTTCCCAGAACTACAGGGAAGCATTCTGAGAAACTTCTTTGTGATATTTGCATTCAACTCACAGAGTTGAACCTTGTTTTCATAGTTCAGCTTTCAAACACTCTTTTTGTAGAATCTGCAAGTGGATATTTGGACCACTTTGTGGCCTTCCTTCGAAACGGATATATCTTCACATCAAACCTAGACAGAAGCATTTTCAGAATGTTTCCTGTGATGACTGCATTCAACTCACAGTAGGTGAACAATCCTGCTGATGGAACAGTTTTGAAACTCTCTTTCTTTGGATTCTGCAAGTGGATATGAGGACCTCTGTGAAGATTTCGTTGGAAACGGGTTCATCTTCACAGAAAAACTAAACAGGAGCATTCTCAGAAACTGCTTTGTGATGTTTGTGTTCCACTTCAGGAATTGAACTTTCCTCTTGACAGAGCAGCTCTGAAACCCTCTTATTCTAGAATCTGCAAGTGGACATTTGGAGGGCTTTGAGGCCTGTGGTGGAAAAGGAAAATCTTCACATAAAAACTAGATGGAAGCATTCTCAGAAACTACTTTGTGATGATTGCATTCGACTCACAGAGTTGAACATTCCTATAGATAGAGCAGGTTGTAAACAATCTTTTTGTAGAATCTGCGATTGGAGATTTGGACTGCTTTGAGGCCTACTGTAGTAAAGGAAATAACTTCATCTAAAAACCAAACGGAAGCATTCACAGACAATTCTTAGTGATCATTGGATTGAACTAACAGAGCTGAACATTCCTTTAGATGGAGCAGTTTCCAAACCCACTTTCTGTAGAATCTGCAAGTGGATATTTGGACTTCTCTGAGGATTTCGTTGGAAACGGGAAAAACTTCCCAGAACTACACGGAAGCATTCTGAGAAACTTCTTTGTGATGTTTGCATTCAACTCACAGAGTTGAACCTTGCTTTCATAGTTCAGCTTTCAAACACTCTTTTTGTGGAATCTGCAAGTGGATATTTGGACCACTTTGTGGCCTTCCTTCGAAACGGGTATATCTTCACATCAAACCTAGACAGAAGCATTCTCAGAATGTTTCCTGTGATGACTGCATTCAACTCACAGAGGTGAACAATCCGGCTAATGGAGCAGTTTTGAAACTCTCTTTCTTTGGATTCTGCAAGTGGATATGTGGACCTCTGTGAAGATTTCGTTGGAAACGGGTTCATCTTCACAGAAAAACTAAACAGAAGCATTCTCAGAAACTGCTTTGTGATGTTTGTGTTCCACTTCAAGAATTGAACTTTCCTCTTGACAGAGCAGCTCTGAAACCCTCTTTTTCTAGAATCTGCAAGTGGACATTTGGAGGGCTTTGAGGCCTGTGGTGGAAAAGGAAAATCTTCACATAAAAACTAGATGGAAGCATTCTCAGAAACTACTTTGTGATGATTGCATTCGACTCACAGAGTTGAACATTCCTATAGATAGAGCAGGTTGTAAACAATCTTTTTGTAGAATCTGCGATTGGAGATTTGGACTGCTTTGAGGTCTACTGTAGTAAAGGAAATAACTTCATCTAAAAACCAAACGGAAGCATTCACAGAAAATTCTTAGTGATCATTGGATTGAACTAACAGAGCTGAACATTCCTTTAGACGGAGCAGTTTCCAAACACACTTTCTGTAGAATCTGCAAGTGGATATTTGGACCTCTCTGAGGATTTCGTTGGAAACGGGATAAACTTTCCAGAACTACACGGAAGCATTCTGAGAAACTTCTTTGTGATGTTTGCATTCAACTCACAGAGTTCAACCTTGCTTTCATAGTTCAGCTTTCAAACACTCTTTTTGTAGAATCTGCAAGTGGATATTTGGACCACTTTGTGGCCTTCCTTCGAAACGGGTATATCTTCACATCAAACCTAGACGGAAGCATTCTCAGAATGTTTCCTGTGATGACTGCATTCAACTCACAGAGGTGAACAATCCTGTTGATGGAGCAGTTTTGAAACTCTCTTTCTTTGGATTCTGCAAGTTGATATGTGGACCTCTGTGAAGATTTCGTTGGAAACGGGTTCATCTTCACAGAAAAACTAAACAGAAGCATTCTCAGAAACTGCTTTGTGATGTTTGCGTTCCACTTCAGGAACTGAACTTTCCTCTTGACAGAGCAGCTCTGAAACCCTCTTATTCTAGAATCTGCAAGTGGACATTTGGAGGGCTTTGAGGCCTGTGGTGGAAAAGGAAAATCTTCACATACAAACTAGATGGAAGCATTCTCAGAAACTACTTTGTGATGATTGCATTCGACTCACAGAGTTGAACATTCCTATAGATAGAGCAGGTTGTAAACAATCTTTTTGTAGAATCTGCGATTGGAGATTTGGACTGCTTTGAGGCCTACTGTAGTAAAGGAAATAACTTCATCTAAAAACCAAACGGAAGCATTCACAGACAATTCTTAGTGATTATTGGATTGAACTAACAGAGCTGAACATTCCTTTAGATGGCACAGTTTCCAAACACACTTTCTGTAGAATCTGCAAGTGGATATTTGGACCTCTCTGAGGATTTCGTTGGAAACGGGATAAACTTCCCAGAACTACACGGAAGCATTCTGAGAAACTTCTTTGTGATGTTTGCATTCAACTCACAGAGTTGAACCTTGCTTTCATAGTTCAGCTTTCAAACCCTCTTTTTGTAGAATCTGCAAGTGGATATTTGGACCACTTTGTGGCCTTCTTTCGAAACGGGTATATCTTCACATCAAACCTAGACAGAAGCATTCTGAGAATGTTTCCTGTGATGACTGCATTCAACTCACAGAGGTGAACAATCCTGCTGATGGAGCAGTTTTGAAACTCCCTTTCTTTGGATTCTGCAAGTGGATATGTGGACCTCTGTGAAGATTTCCTTGGAAACGGGTTCATCTTCACAGAAAAACTAAACAGAAGCATTCTCAGAAACTGCTTTGTGATGTTTGTGTTCCACTTCAGGAATTGAACTTTCCTCTTGACAGAGCAGCTCTGAAACCCTCTTATTCTAGAATCTGCAAGTGGACATTTGAAGGGCTTTGAGGCCTGTGTTGGAAAAGGAAAATCTTCACATAAAAACCAGATGGAAGCATTCTCAGAAACTACTTTGTGATGATTGCATTTGACTCACAGAGTTGAACATTCCTATAGATAGAGCAGGTTGTAAACAATCTTTTTCTAGAATCTGCGATTGGAGATTTGGACTGCTTTGAGGCCTACTGTAGTAAAGGAAATAACTGCATCTAAAAACCAAACGGAAGCATTCACAGACAATTCTTAGTGATCATTGCATTGAACTAACAGAGCTGAACATTCCTTTAGATGGAGCAGTTTCCAAACACACTTTCTGTAGAATCTGCAAGTGGATATTTGGACTTCTCTGAGGATTTCGTTGGAAACGGGATAAACTTCCCAGAACTACAGGGAAGCATTCTGAGAAACTTCTTTGTGATGTTTGCATTCAACTCACAGAGTTGAACCTTGCTTTCATAGTTCAGCTTTCAAACACTCTTTTTGTAGAATCTGCAAGTGGATATTTGGACCACTTTGTGGCCTTCCTTCGAAACGGGTATATCTTCACATCAAACCTAGACAGAAGCATTCTCGGAATGTTTCCTGTGAAGACTGCATTCAACTCACAGAGGTGAACAATCCTGCTGATGGAGCAGTTTTGAAACTCTCTTTCTTTGGATTCTGCAAGTGGATATGTGGACCTCTGTGAAGATTTCATTGGAAACGGGTTCATCTTCACAGAAAAACTAAACAGGAGCATTCTCAGAAACTGCTTTGTGATGTTTGTGTTCCACTTCAAGAATTGAACTTTCCTCTTGACAGAGCAGCTCTGAAACCCTCTTTTTCTAGAATCTGCAAGTGGACATTTGGAGGGCTTTGAGGCCTGTGGTGGAAAAGGAAAATCTTCCCATAAAAACTAGATGGAAGCATTCTCAGAAACTACTTTGTGATGATTGCATTCGACTCACAGAGTTGAACATTCCTATAGATAGAGCAGGTTGTAAACAATCTTTTGTAGAATCTGCGATTGGAGATTTGGACTGCTTTGAGGCCTACTGTAGTAAAGGAAATAACTTCATCTAAAAACCAAACGGAAGCATTCACAGACAATTCTTAGTGATCATTGGATTGAACTAACAGAGCTGAACATTCCTTTAGATGGCGCAGTTTCCAAACACACTTTCTGAAGAATCTGCAAGTGGATATTTGGACCTCTCTGAGGATTTCGTTGGAAAGGGGATAAACTTCCCAGAACTACACGGAAAGCATTCTGAGAAACTTCTTTGTGATGTTTGCATTCAACTCAAAGAGTTGAACCTTGCTTTCATAGTTCAGCTTTCAAACACTCTTTTTGTAGAATCTGCAAGTGTATATTTGGACCACTTTGTGGCCTTCCTTCGAAACGGGTATATCTTCACATCAAACCTAGACAGAAGCATTCTCAGAATGTTTCCTGTGATGACTGCATTCAACTCACAGAGGTGAACAATCCTGCTGATGGAGCAGTTTTGAAACTCTCTTTCTTTGGATTCTGCAAGTGGATATGTGGACCTCTGTGAAGATTTCGATGGAAACGGGTTCATCTTCACAGAAAAACTAAACAGGAGCATTCTCAGAAACTGCTTTGTGATGTTTGTGTTCCACTTCAGGAATTGAACTTTCCTCTTGACAGAGCAGCTCTAAAACCCTCTTATTCTAGAATCTGCAAGTGGACATTTGGAGGGCTTTGAGGCCTGTGGTGGAAAAGGAAAATCTTCACATAAAAACTAGATGGAAGCATTCTCAGAAACTACTTTGTGATGATTGCATTCGACTCACAGAGTTGAACATTCCTATAGATAGAGCAGGTTGTAAACAATCTTTTTGTAGAATCTGCGATTGGAGATTTGGACTGCTTTGAGGCCTACTGTAGTAAAGGAAATAACTTCATCTAAAAACCAAACGGAAGCATTCACAGACAATTCTTAGTGATCATTGCATTGAACTAACAGAGCTGAACATTCCTTTAGATTGAGCAGTTTCCAAACACACTTTCTGTAGAATCTGCAAGTGGATATTTGGACTTCTCTGAGGATTTCGTTGGAAACGGGATAAACTTCCCAGAACTACACGGAAGCATTGTGAGAAACTTCTTTGTGATGTTTGCATTCAACTCACAGAGTTGAACCTTGCTTTCATAGTTCAGCTTTCAAACACTCTTTTTGTAGAATCTGCAAGTGGATATTTGGACCACTTTGTGGCCTTCCTTTGAAAAGGGTATATCTTCACATCAAACCTAGACAGAAGCATTCTCAGAATGTTTCCTGTGATGACTGCATTCAACGCACAGAGGTGAACAATCCTGTTGATGGAGCAGTTTTGAACCTCTCTTTCTTTGGAATCTGCAAGTGGATATGTGGACCTCTTTGACGATTTCCTTGGAAACGGGTTCATCTTCAAAGAAAAACTAAACAGAAACATTCTCAGAAACTGTTTTGTGATGTTTGTGTTCCACTTCAAGAATTGAACTTTCCTCTTGACAGAGCAGCTCTGAAACCCTCTTTTTCTAGAATCTGCAAGTGGACATTTGGAGGGCTTTGAGGCCTGTGGTGGAAAAGGAAAATCTTCCCATAAAAACTAGATGGAAGCATTCTCAGAAACTACTTTGTGATGATTGCATTCGACTCACAGAGTTGAACATTCCTATAGATAGAGCAGGTTGAAAACAATCTTTTTGTAGAATCTGCGATTGGAGATTTGGACTGCTTTGAGGCCTACTGTAGTAAAGGAAATAACTTCATCTAAAAACCAAACGGAAGCATTCACAGACAATTCTTAGTGATCATTGCATTGAACTAACAGAGCTGAACATTCCTTTAGATGGAGCAGTTTCCAAACACACTTTCTGTAGAATCTGCAAGTGGATATTTGGACCTCTCTGAGGATTTCGTTGGAAACGGGATAAACTTCCCAGAACTACACGGAAGCATTCTGAGAAACTTCTTTGTGATGTTTGCATACAACTCACAGAGTTGAACCTTGCTTTCATAGTTCAGCTTTCAAACACTCTTTTTGTAGAATCTGCAAGTGGATATTTGCACCACTTTGTGGCCTTCTTTCGAAACGGGTATATCTTCACATCAAACCTAGACAGAAGCATTCTCAGAATGTTTCCTGTGATGACTGCATTCAACTCACAGAGGTGAACAATCCTGTTGATGGAGCACTTTTGAAACTCTCTTTCTTTGGATTCTGCAAGTTGATATGTGGACCTCTGAGAACATTTCGTTGGAAACGGGTTCATCTTCACAGAAAAACTAAACAGAAGCATTCTCAGAAACTACTTTGTGTTTGTTTGTGTTCCACTTCAAGAATTGAACTTTCCTCTTTACAGAGCAGCTCTGAAACCCTCTTTTTCTAGAATCTGCAAGTGGACATTTGGAGGGCTTTGAGGCCTGTGGTGGAAAAGGAAAATCTTCACATAAAAACTAGATGGAAGCATTCTCAGAAACTACTTTGTGATGATTGCATTCGACTCACAGAGTTGAACATTCCTATAGATAGAGCAGGTTGTAAACAATCTTTTTGTAGAATCTGCGATTGGAGATTTGGACTGCTTTGAGGCCTACTGTAGTAAAGGAAATAACTTCATCTAAAAACCAAACGGAAGCATTCACAGATAATTCTAAGTGATATTGGATTGAACTAACAGAGCTGAACATTCTTTTAGATGGAGCAGTTTCCAAACACACTTTCTGTAGAATCTGCAAGTGGATATTTGGACTTCTCTGAGGATTTCGTTGGAAACGGGATAAACTTATCAGAACTACACGGAAGCATTCTGAGAAACTTCTTTGTGATGTTTGCATTCAACTCACAGAGTTGAACCTTGCTTTCATAGTTCAGCTTTCAAACACTCTTTTTGTAGAATCTGCAAGTGGATATCTGGACCACTTTGTGGCCTTCCTTTGAAACGGGTATATCTTCACATCAAACCTAGACAGAAGCATTCTCAGAATGTTTCCTGTGATGACTGCATTCAACTCACAGAGGTGAACAATCCTGCTGATGGAGCAGTTTTGAAGCTCTCTTTCTTTGGATTCTGCAAGTGGATATGTGGACCTCTGTGAAGATTTCGTTGGAAACGGGTTCATCTTCACAGAAAAACTAAACAGAAGCATTCTCAGAAACTGCTTTGTGATGTTTGTGTTCCACTTCAGGAATTGAACTTTCCTCTTGACAGAGCAGCTCTGAAACCCTCTTATTCTAGAATCTGCAAGTGGACATTTGGAGGGCTTTGAGGCCTGTGGTGGAAAAGGAAAATCTTCACATAAAAACTAGATGGAAGCATTCTCAGAAACTACTTTGTGATGATTGCATTCGACTCACAGAGTTGAACATTCCTATAGATACAGCAGGTTGTAAACAATCTTTTTGTAGAATCTGCGATTGGAGATTTGGACTGCTTTGAGGCCTACTGTAGTAAAGGAAATAACTTCATGTAAAAACCAAACGGAAGCATTCACAGACAATTCTTAGTGATCATTGGATTGAACTAACAGAGCTGAACATTCCTTTAGATGGAGCAGTTTCCAAACACACTTTCTGTAGAATCTGCAACTGGATATTTGGACCTCTCTGAGGATTTCGTTGGAAACGGGATAAACTTCCCAGAACTACACGGAAGCATTCTGAGAAATTTCTTTGTGATGTTTGCATTCAACTCACAGAGTTGAACCTTGCTTTCATAGTTCAGCTTTCAAACACTCTTTTTGTAGAATCTGCAAGTGGATATTTGGACCACTTTGTGGCCTTCCTTCGAAACGGGTATATCTTCACATCAAACCTAGACAGAAGCATTCTCAGAATGTTTCCTGTGATGACTGCATTCAACTCACAGAGTTGAACAATCCTGCTGATGGAGCAGTTTTGAAACTCTCTTTCTTTGGATTCTGCAAGTGGATATGTGGACCTCTGTGAAGATTTCTTTGGAAACGGGTTCATCTTCATAGAAAAACTAAACAGGAGCATTCTCAGAAACTGCTTTGTGATGTTTGTGTTCCACTTCAAGAATTGAACTTTCCTCTTGACAGAGCAGCTCTGAAACCCTCTTTTTCTAGAATCTGCAAGTGGACATTTGGAGGGCTTTGAGGCCTGTGGTGGAAAAGGAAAATCTTCACATAAAAACTAGATGGAAGCATTCTCAGAAACTACTTTGTGATGATTGCATTCGACTCACAGAGTTGAACATTCCTATAGATAGAGCAGGTTGTAAACAATCTTTTTGTAGAATCTGCGATTGGAGATTTGGACTGCTTTGAGGCCTACTGTAGTAAAGGAAATAACTTCATCTAAAAACCAAACGGAAGCATTCACAGACAATTCTTAGTGATCATTGGATTGAACTAACAGAGCTGAACATTCCTTTAGATGGAGCAGTTTCCAAACCCTCTTTCTGTAGAATCTGCAAGTGGATATTTGGACTTCTCTGAGGATTTCGTTGGAAACGGGATAAACTTCCCAGAACTACACGGAAGCATTGTGAGAAACTTCTTTGTGATGTTTGCATTCAACTCACAGAGTTGAACCTTGCTTTCCTAGTTCAGCTTTCATACACTCTTTTTGTGGAATCTGCAAGTGGATATTTGGACCACTTTGTGGCCTTCCTTCGAAACGGGTATATACTTCACATCAAACCTAGACAGAAGCATTCTCAGAATGTTTCCTGTGGATGACTGCATTCAACTCACAGAGGTGAACAATCCTGCTGATGGAGCAGTTTTGAAACTCTCTTTCTTTGGATTCTGCAAGTGGATATGTGGACCTCTGTGAAGATTTCGTTGGAAAAGGGTTCATCTTCACAGAAAAACTAAACAGGAGCATTCTCAGAAACTGCTTTGTGATGTTTGTGTTCCACTTCAGGAATTGAACTTTCCTCTTGACAGAGCAGCTCTGAAACCCTCTTATTCTAGAATCTGCAAGTGGACATTTGGAGGGCTTTGAGGCCTGTGGTGGAAAAGGAAAATCTTCACATAAAAACTAGATGGAAGCATTCTCAGAAACTACTTTGTGATGATTGCATTCGACTCACAGAGTTGAACATTCCTATAGATAGAGCAGGTTGTAAACAATGTTTTTGTAGAATCTGCGATTGGAGATTTGGACTGCTTTGAGGCCTACTGTAGTAAAGGAAATAACTTCATCTAAAAACCAAACGGAAGCATTCACAGACAATTCTTAGTGATCATTGGATTGAACTAACAGAGCTGAACATTCCTTTAGATGGAGCAGTTTCCAAACCCACTTTCTGTAGAATCTGCAAGTGGATATTTGGACTTCTCTGAGGATTTCGTTGGAAACGGGATAAACTTCCCAGAACTACACGGAAGCATTGTGAGAAACTTCTTTGTGATGTTTGCATTCAACTCACAGAGTTGAAACTTGCTTTCATAGTTCAGCTTTCAAACACTCTTTTTGTAGAATCTGCAAGTGGATATTTGGACCACTTTGTGGCCTTCCTTCGAAACGTGTATATCTTCACATCAAACCTAGACAGGAAAAGCATTCTCAGAATGTTTCCTGTGATGACTGCATTCAACTCACAGAGGTGAACAATCCTGCTGATGGAGCAGTTTTGAAACTCTCCTTCTTTGGATTCTGCAAGTGGATATGTGGACCTCTGTGAAGATTTCGTTGGAAACGGGTTCATCTTCACAGAAAAACTAAA